>NC_000003.12:168554058-168705574 GCF_000001405.40 Homo sapiens
CTCTCTTCAGCCATCCTACAGTCTTGATAGAAAGGCAAAACTGGCAGTTATGAAATAATTAAAAATAAATCAGTGCTAAACTCTATTATGTAAAATAGGAGTATAGATGAGGGAGAGATCAGTGTGGATCATAGTAGCCAATCTCTGCACTTTAAAGTTAAAAGGACCCTTAGAAATCATTCATTTGGAGTTTTAGAAATCATGAAATTGTATTTTATCAGGTTTACACACTCAAGATTTCACAGCCAGCTAATGACATGTCCAGTGCTTGAATAAAGGTCTCTTAACCCTCAATTTCGTGATCACTTTTTACTAGTTAGCCTTATACCTCCTCCTGGAGGAGTTTGTCCTTAACAATTCATTAAAAGATAGCTTGGGGTCAGCAATTATAGACCGAGTTCTATTGCAAATATCAGTTTCATCTAGCAGAGTGTTCCCCAAATTTTCGTTGTTTACTCAACACATTCATAATGTTTTTTTCATATCCTTCTACCATTTGTACTATTATTTATCCTTTTTTTATTTGAAATTCATTAAAAGGAAAATGAAAGGCCAGAATTATTTGTCATAAGTAAAAGATAACTAGGAAGTAAACACCTGAAAAATAAAAGCTAAGCTATAAATTCCCAGCCAGGCACTTTGTCTGCCTAAGCCAGAGGCCTGTTCTCTTTCTTATAAAGGAGATTAGTGAGTAATGGAAAAACATTAGATGCCATAGTCCTACATTACTATAAAGAGCAATCCTTTCCTTCACCTCCAGTTTCAAAATTGTGAGATTTACAAGGTCCAACTGTGGAAGCTAATATCTCCTATTGACCTCCCTGTGGCTGTTTTGTGACTGCCTTAGGAAGAAATTAGCCATGGACCTGCAGTTCTGCATGAGCTCATGTGCATGTCTGCATGAATTTGTGTGTCTGTATTGGTTGGTGGCGGGGGTTAGGGAATGGTGGTTACTTTTTAAATTATGCAATAATGGCGTATATTTCCTGATTTTCTTTCTTCATTAAAACAAAGCTCTTTTGAACTGGTTGCTTTTGTCCTTTACAAGGGAAAGTAATTGTATAGTTAATCCTATTTGTTTCTAATGTAATTAAATGGAATTTAGATAGATTATCTCTCCATATACAAACATGCAATTCTTATCATTTATAAAGCAAAAAAATAAAAACCCTTTTATTGTTTTTGGTGGAGCAGTCGGGGCACATTAGTAACTCTGGCTTATGTAAGAATGACATGCATTTTTCTCTTAAAGATGAAGAATGCTGTCAAAATATACTTTTAAAAATTAAGAAAAGTAAATGATTCCTACAAATATCAAGTGAGGATATTTCACAGCTTATTTAACCCATTGATGAGAACCCTCAGTATGGTGACTCAGTTTTAAAGAGACTTTGAAAAGCAGATATTTGTATAGTTAGTTTGGAAAAGTGTGATGAAATATGTTTGCTGAGTTAGAGAAAATGCTCATTAATGTCCCACAGGATAATAAAATCATAACCTTTGAACATATATTTTCAACCAGAGAGGAAATGGTTTGTATCACTACCAGACAAAAATATACAAGTTAAAAGTACCCAGAACAACTCTGGGTACTTACCAATAGTAAATGGTAAGTAAAACAATGATGTATTTTCTGGTTCTTGGGAACCCAGGTAATTTTTCCCCTTAGGGTTTTTTGGCAAAGTCTGGTGACATTTTTGGTCTTGGCACCTGGAGGGTGCGACCATCATCCAGCATACAGTCTAAGGATGCTGCTAAACATCCTATAATATAAAAATATCAGTTATTTCTGCCTCCTCTCATACCCCCAGAAAAAATTATCCCGGCCAAAATATCAGTGGTTCTCAAGTTGAGAGACACTACCCTAGAGACTTAAATCACCTTTGTACAGGCCTGATAGTGCTCCAGTGTGACACTGAAAGGGCTTGCTGCCATTCTTTTGTCTGTTCTGGATAATTTTTCTTACTAATGCCATAAGATTTTCCATGCAGTACGATGTTTTTGTATTGTCTGAATGTACCCAGAGGAAGCAGACATAGTGAGCTAGGCTAGGGCTCTGCTTGGTTATAACATTTCTTGTTCCTGTCTCATTCTATTGTTGTTTTCTTACATTTGAATGGAAAAAAAATCTAAAAATAAATGGTGAAGAAATGTTAAAACATGCATTATCTGTCACTGTGACCATTTTAATGAATGTCATTCCATTTTCTACAGGATAACATTATTTTCAGTTGGCTGTGTCCTTTCCTGATTGACACTGTGATTCTTGAAAAATAAAAATTGATGCACAATAATGTAGTATAGGAAAGAAGTACATATTAGAAAAGCATAGACTCTCCCTGCTCCTGACTAATTTCTTTCAGTTAGAAAGTTAAGGAAAACTGACATATTCTCTCTAAGAAAATATGGAATTGGAAACATCACACCTCATTCTTTTCAACCCTTCAATAGGTTGAATTGAAAGTCAGCAATTAAGAGCAGTCTTTTCTTATACCTCCAATTTAGTGAAAAGGTAAAAACAGAAGGAAAATTCATATATAACATACTACGATATTCCAGGAACAACCACTATAATTTTTGTGTATTTGTTCAGACTTTTACTAGGAACAGCCTCATTTTCTTTTCTATTTAACTGAATGTTTTTTAATGTAACATATGCTTCTTGGAATAGGCACAAGCATACTGAGATGAGGGTGAAGACTTGCTTCTGTACCCAAGAAATTCCTATGTCAGTACCCAGAGTTCTAATTGTAGAGAATATGCAATAGTATATATTAATTTTTCACTTAATATCATACTATCAGAATTTTTTTCATGTTGCCACATTGTTCTCCTAATCATTTAATGCTGGGATTTATATAGATTTAAAAACAGCTCAAGTTTCCTGTAAGAAATATGATGCAATTTATAGTTGCATTTCTCATATAAGTAAGCAGTAGGATCACACTCATATACAGGAGTAAAATTATCCTCCAAATAATCTGCACAGGGCCTGGTACTTGCTAGGTGCTTAAAAAATGTTGATTTTCTTTTATTCAAGTTCTAGCATTTTTATACTGGAAGGAATCATGACATTGGCACATTCCTTTTTTCTCTTTTTATCTTTTTTAATAGTAAAGGAACTGAGACCTTGTTAATTATTATTATTATTATTATTTTTTGAGACGGAATCTCGTTCTGTCGCCCAGGCTGGAGTGCAGAGACCTTGTTAATTTAACTGGGGCAATGTAGAACTCTGTACTTGAACTTAAAATATTAGGTTCAAGTGCTATCTCTGCCTCTTATTGACTGTATGATAATAGATGAGCCACTTTACTTCTTGAGGCATTTCAGTATATATTGGAGAGAGAGTTGCACTAGGTAAAATACGTTGTTTAAGATTTAAGGAATTTTGTTTTTTGCTTCAAGAGCTCATGCTGATAAAATTGATATAAATATAATGGTAATGTGAATTAGCACAACCACTAGGGGGAAGAATATGGAGTTCCCCCAAAAAACTAAAAATAGAACTACCGTATGATCCAACAATCCCAGTTCTCGGTATATATATATATATAAAAAAGTATATCAAAGAGTTATCTTCTTCCCATATATATTGCAGCACCATTCACAATAGCCAAGACATGGAATTAACCTAAATGTCCATCAATGGATTGATGGATAAAGGAAATATGGTACATTTACACAAAGGAGTATTATTTAGCCATAAAGATGAAGTCCTTTTATTTATACAGAACAGGAAGACAGTATGTTTAGTGAAATAAATCAGGCACAGAAAGATAAATATTGTATATTCTCACTCATGTGGGAGCTAAAAAATTTTGAACTCATGGAGATAGTAGAGTGGTGGTTACAAGAGGCTAGGAAGGGTAGTAGGGAGGAAAGGTAAAGTGGGGATAGTTAATGGGTACAGGTATACAATTATGTAGAATGAATAAGGTCTAGTATTTTGTAGCACAATAGGGCCACTATAGTTAAGCATATTTATTATATATTTAAAAATAACTGAAAGAGTAGAATTGGAATGTTCCTAACACACATACATAATAAATGGTTGTGATGAATACTCCAATTTACTTGATTATTGCACATTATATGCCTGTATCAAAACACTACATGTATGCCAAAAACATATACAACTACTATGTACCCATAATCATTAATTTTTTTTAATTTAAAAATCTATGATCTCTTTAAGGACAAAAGTCTTCCAAGGCAAATATTAATCTACTAAATAAGCTCACTGTATAGAGAGCCCAGAGTACTGTAAAATAATATGCATTCATTTGGAAACAAAAACTAATATTATAAGAGCACACTATGTATTAAGGATGCCTTCAAACATTTTATGTGGGTTTTTACTTTAATCTTTAGTTACACTTTCAGGTAGATGATATGCTTCTCCGTTTATTTAAGGAAACTTCAACCGAGTGAAGTTGCCACATTTTTCTAAATAACTCATCTAGTATATATTTCATTATGCCAAAGTCTAGAAAACTGATGTGTTCATTCAAAAACATTACTTCAACCTGTCAGTAGCAGTCTTTTTTTTACCTCTTTACAGTTTTAGAAAGGCCTTTTGGGCATGGTTTTGTGATCCATGACTATTTAAAAATCTCGTCAGGGAAGTAGGAAATAATTTTCTTCTTATCTCATATGAATTGCTCTTGTAGCAAAGAGACTGTCAAAAATATTCTCTCCATCATTCTTCAGGAAAATGTTAAGCATTGAGGGCAAGCAAGCCTCTTAAACTAGAGACCCAGAGGTACAGTAGAAGGTATTCCAGAGTTGAGATGAGAGTTCTATGCTCCTGTCTTTGCACATATACTGACTTGTGTGATTCAGCTAATTTCCAGGAAGCTCAACTATAAAAGTGAGGGAGGTGCACCAGATGATCTCCAAGATCTTGTACTCTGTTTGTACTCTACTCTCTCCTTGTGTATCTTCCCCACCCACTCTGCTGTTCTGTGCGGGGAAGGGAGATCTGTAGCTCTGTTGTATTAAAGTAAAAACTTTAGAAAAATATAGCAGAGTTTAACTGAGCAAGGTACAGTTCAGTGTGGGCAGGCAGCATTTGTGGATAAAAAATGGAGGTGAAGTACAGAAACAGCTTGCTTGGTTTTGATTTGCATTTGTCTCGCCTCACCGTGGTCTGATCAGTTGGCCATCTGTGATTGACTGAAGCTTGGCTACTGGGACTGACTGAGATCCAGCTAGTTATTACAAAAGTATACTGCTGTGTTAGGCTTCAAGTTAGTTTCAGTGCTGTTAGGTTGCATTTTATTATGTGAAGAGTCAAGTACAGAGGCATTCACAGGCCAAATTTAGTTGAAGAATCTTCCCCTTTTGGTCAGCCTCTCAATTTTGAGAGATTTGACCAAAACCTTGGACATGGATTCTACTCTCTCTTACCATCATAAATTGACTTATTTGGTCTCAGTACGGAATTTCCAAGTGAGTTCAATAATTCTTTATGATCTTGATGATCTAATCAAAGTGAGACTATTCAAGGATTGCTAGATGGCTGCATACAAAAATTTAATACTTGAGAGGAGACCACACATCATGGGGACTATTATATAATGATCATTAGGATAATAATACCAAAAGACTTAAGTATACTGCACAACAGAAGCCCCTACAAACTGAACTGATCAAAATCAAGCACATTGAAGTTCAGCTAATATAGAAAGTTCAGTAGTATTTGAGTCCAATTGATCATAGTCGGTGTTCAGGATGTGATGGTGATTAAAGACCACAGTCCACTGTGGAATGGTCTGATTTAAGAGGAATACAGTTTTGTCATTAACCAGTTATTTTAAGTTATAGTCACCTGGAGACCCACTAGAAGATATAAACATTAGAAAACCTTGGAAAAGCCAAGCTTGCCACTCACCACTTAGGATGTCTACAAACCAACTATTAGTGGTTCCTATAAACACATTGTGTGTTCTTATCTCTTGAGAAATTTCCTTGATTATTTGATGTCAGGGTTTTAAAAAACAGAGGTTTCAGCCAACTTTTAAATTATGCTTTCTGTAGTAGCAAAATAAGGGGAAATATAGATACAGCATTCAGTTTTGTTCAATACCTTACACAAGCCCCCAGCATGACAAAAAAGGAAATCTAAAACTGCATGATGTTTCATTAAGTGCTTTTTGCTGAACATGTATGTTTTTATCCACCATTCAGAGAGTGACTTCTATCAGTATGAACCCCTAGGAGGCCTTGTTGGCCACAAAGTCCAAGATTTTTTTCCAGTTTACAGATTAGTTTCAAATTCCGTACTACCGGTACTCCACTACTACCCAAGAGTGAGCCCTCAGTAACCTCATTGGAGTCTTTCCTCATTGGAAACTAGATTATCTTTACAAACCCAACAATTGCTCCAGTTTTTTGCTAGAACATAAACCTTAACTAAAAAAAAAAAAAAAATTCATCCACAAATTGTGGTTCCACAGATTTTTCTGCAGAGAAAAGGAAAAGATTAGGACAGCAGCAAATGAGGAAAAAAGAAAAAGGGTAGTCCTTTCATAATGGCATAGAAAAGAAGCCTTTGTCTGTAATCTTTGGAAAGCCATTCATATCTAGGATGCCATTTGCTTCTGCAGAGAAACTTCCCTGGTCGGCTTTCCCTAAAAGTCTCCAATGAGTGTGCAGCTCTAAGAGTCTGGAGGGTCATTTTCAGTTGTAAGATGTGGACCCAAGGTTTGAGCCCCCAAAGTTTTGCTGCAGTGAGGGCGGTGAAAAGAAGTTGGTATGATCCCTTTCAATGGAGTTCAAGGGCAGTCTTTCTTTGAGGTCATTTCCAGAAGCCCCAATCTCTAGGTTCTAGATCTTCAAAGATTTGATTGTTCTCAGTTGGTGTATTATAAAAAGCTTCCTTTACCCGGTGAAAATACACTTTTGCAAAATGCATTAAAGCCTTAGAGCATTTAGTCATATCAGGGTTTAGGAGACCAAGAGATACATGAGGTCCCATCATTAAGGACAGAGGCCTTTCAGTGACTATTTCATGAGAGGTCAACTTATGTTTTCCTCTGAGGGTGGATCTGATTGCCATCAAGGCCAATATTAATACCTTTAGCCAAGGCAATCTAATCAATTCAGTTAACTTTGCCAGTTTCAGTTTTAAGATACCATTTGTTCTTTCAACCTTTCTAGAAGACTGAGGGTGAAAGAGATGATGGTAATTCCATTGTGTTCATACCACCTTATTTAATTGCTTTATAAATTATCCAGTAAAATGGATACCTCTACTGCTGGAGATTTTGCCAGGAATGCCCCATAAGGGAAACACATTTTTGAATATCCTTTTAGCTACTCTTATAGTATTGGACTTCCTGCGTTGACAGTTCCAACTAGGGAACATAAACTATTTAAAAAAATACAGGGCCGGGTGCAGTGGCTCACACCTGTAATCCCAGCACTTTGGGAGGCCGAGGCAGGCAGATCACGAGGTCAGGAGATCGAGACCATGCTGGCTAACACAGTGAAACCCCGTCTCTACTAAAAATACAAAAAATTAGCCGGGCGTGGTGGCAGGCGCCTGTAGTCCCAGCTACTCAGGAGGCTGAGGCAGGAGAATGGTGTGAACCCAAGAGGCAGAGCTTGCAGTGAGCCGAGATCATGCCTCCAGCCTGGGCGACAGAGTGAGACTCCATCTCAAAAAAAAAAAAAAAAAAAAAATTCATATCCCACTGAAGTAGCAATTAAATGGAATCTCTATAAATGTTGAAATGGCCCATTAGGTAGCAGAAATGTGCCCCCTGTGGTTTTGATTGTCTTTTCAGAATTATGAGTTTGACAAACCAAACATTGGTTATGAATTATTTCAGTAATTTTATAACAGTCACCACACCAATATTTTTTCGTAATTTGTATCATTTTGTCTACTCCATGACGAGTTATAGAGGGCAGAACTTTTAACAATGGAAGCTGTAAGGACTCAGAAAAGACCAGGCCGACATCCAGACTTTCCATAAGTCCATGCTGAACATTGAATTTACATCCTTCTAAGTATCAGTTTTGTTTCTCCAATTCAGGTGCATAGCACTCTTAAGTAAGTTATCTTAGGTAATGTTAAAATAAAAATTTAGACAAAATAAATTTAATAGGTGTATTTGAGCAAAGAACAATTTATGAATTGGGTAGTGCTCAGAATCAAAAGAGATTCGGAGTACTCTGCTACAGCCATGCGGGTAGTGAGCTTTCTTCACATGGAGGGAAAACAAGTAAAATATACTAGATTAGTTTAGAGTAGAAAGACACTAGTCAGAGGTTAGACAGTAGTTCCTGATTGATAATGTCTCTAGTTTCATTATAGTCTTTACATTGGGCTCTGGTTTGCTTATAGGAACCTAAAGCACTGGGGCTGTCTCAGTGTAATGGTTTCTATATTAGGATTTTTTTTAAAAAAGAAACAATTCCCCCTTTTTTCATCTTCTCATTTATGAGACTGACCAAAATATAGGCATAAGCACCACTCCCTGCTGCCATCGTGGCTGGGTTGTCTTTTTCTCAGTGAGGAACTTGTAAGTCATGACGTCAGGCTTGTTAAAGAAAGGTTCCTTTTATTTCATTTTTGTACTCTAATTGCAGTGAGACCATCTGATGTACCATCGATGGCTGTGGACATGTGTTTAAGACTCTTGAGAGAATACAGTGCACAAAGGTGATTGTAATGATGACTGTCAGGAGGATAATATCAAGATGCCAACATATTCTCTTTAGTTCCTAATGAACCAAACCAGCTAAAATAAAATAAGTCAAAGAATCAACCAGAGAGGGATTCAACTTGTTTTAGCCATGTGGCCTGTTAACTTATTGTAATTGAGTTTCTGCAATACAAGAGGTATTTATTCAGATATAACAGGATATGTTAGTTATTGCACTGACTTCTCCTTTTTCAGCCAATAGATGGTCCAATGCAATCTGATTATCTAAAACAACTTAAGTAAGATAATTTAGAGATTTTTCTTGGGCAAACATAGCCTTAGATGTAGAGTCAGCTATAGTAACTTATGTCAAAGACAAATTTCTGATCATCATGTTATTTGCATTCACCCCAAGCCACAGGGAAAGATACCTAAAAAATGATGCCCACCTGGTAGGGTTGACATCTGCTGTAAGTTTCTTTTTAATCTATGATGTAGTTTTAGAGGGGTGGATCCGTGTTTAGCTTCTGATTGGTTGTAGTATGACAATGATACTATTAAAATACTTAGTGTGCATTGGCCTTTCATTCTCTGTCAAGGCATGGGGTGGCCCAAGCATATGGCTGAGAGTTAAATAACCTCCACAGATAAAGATGTACCACAGGGGTGCATATAAGGCTTCTCCTTGGGTAATTTTATTTGTGGAGGTATTAGTTACAATGGAGGCACTGATCATTTCTAACCAAGAGTCTGATACTGAGTTACCACATACTGGAAGTCTGCAAAAATACATAGGTGTATACAAATTCTTGCAAAAGAGTCTATTAAAGTCCTTTTTTTGTTGTTGTTTTTTAACCAGGTAGCCTCCATATAATATAGCCAACTAACTTGGACATTGGCCATCCTAGTCCATGGTTGGGTTAGATTAAAACAAGTATAAGAATAAATGGGTCTGCTGAAGTATTTTATTAATAATAAAAGTTTGTACACCAAACTTATTGGATTTTATATGGAGATAATATAATTTAAAAATAATAAACATTTTCTTTCTCCTTTTCAAAAAAAAAAAAAAGAATAAATGGGTCTAGAAATTCAGTCACAATGTGAACTAAAGGATCTCTAAAATCATAGGAGGATTTTGGCTTAGCATGGCAAATCCAGCATTTTATTAAATTTCCTCCAGAAGCTATTGACTGTGATATTCCAATTATGACATAATTTTGCCACCCACAGATAGAAAGGAAGAACAAGAAATAGGAGAGAAAAAAATAGGGGCTTAATAATAGGGAGAGGAGATTCTTGATCCATGATCTTAGGAAAATAGTCTTCATTCAAGGTACCATCTACTTCTGGGGAGAGATTTTCATGGTGAGTTTTAGTGAAACATCGTCAGCTGGTGTACATTTCCAAAAGTCTGAGTTAAGTTGAAAAACATGAATTTAAGACTTAAGGCCTTGAAGCTTTGTTGCAGTGTGAGTGGTGAGAAGAACATAATATGCTCCCTTCCAGTGAAGCTCAAGGGAAGCCTTCCCTTGGTATCATTTCCAAAAGACCCAATCTCTAGGTTGTAGGTCATGGAAAATCTATTGATTGATCAATGGGTCATGGTAGGCTTTCTTTTACCTGGTGGAAGTATACTTTGATATGTATCAAGGCCTTGCAATACTGAATTATACCAGAGGTTTCAAGATACTTCAGGTTTAATTGTTAAGGGCATAGGTCTTTCACTTACTATTTCATAAGGTGTCAACCTGTGCTTTGATTTTCAGTAGGGGTATATCTAATTGCCATTAAAGCTAGTAGTAATGCTTTTTGCCAAGGAAATCTAATAGATTCTGTTAGCCGATTTTAGTTTTAGGATACCATTTGTTTATTCAACCTTTGCAGAAGACTTGGGATGATAAGGATAATGCTAGTGCCATTTTGTACATCTTAATTTAGTTGTTTAATAATTTGTCCAATAAAATGAGTTTCTCTATCACTGAAAATCTTTCCAGGGGCACTCCATAAGGGAAATGCATTCTCTAGTAATTTTTTTGCTTCTTTTGTGTCATTGACCTTCCTGCAGGGAAAGGCCTCAATCTATCCCAAGAACAGGCATACAATTATATGAACATACTGATAACTCATTGAGGGTGGCAGCTGAATGAAGTGTACTTGGAGGTGTTCCAGTGGTCCAGCAGGTGATTGTAGTATAGTGCCAGAAACCTTAATTGTTTTTCCAGGATTATGAATCTGACAAATCAGACATTGGTTATAAACTGTTTTTGCAACAATCACTTCAGCAATACTTTTTCATAATTTGTACCATTTTGTCTACACTATGGTGAGTTGTGGAGTATAGAGCCTTTAATTGCAGTGATTTTAAGGACTCAGGGAGGACCAGGCAGTTGTCTGGGCCCTCAGTGAGTCCATATTTAGTACTGCGTTTGTATTTTTTAGGTGCCAACTTTGCTTTTCTAATTTAGGTGCAGGACATTGTTTATTAAATACATTATCATAGGTTATTTGAATCAATCTTATGAAATTCATTTAAATGGCATATACAAACACTTTCAGAAATAGCTAACTTATCATGGAAATTCACTAGGGCAGTTTCTCCATATTCAGGGTCAGTTTTATGAGTGTGAGCTTCAATTTTAATAATAGTAACTTGTGAGGGCCACAAAGCAGCAGAAAGAAGCTCATTCACTTGGGGTCACTTTTTTTTTATTGAGGTCCTACTAGAAGTGAGGAATCTTCTTTGTTTCCATAATATGACAACATTACGGACCACCCCAAAGGTATGTCTACTATATGTATAAATGTTGACTGTTTTGCCCTTAGATGTTTCACAGGCCTAAATAAAAACATACAATTCTGCTGGTTGGGCTGACTTAAATTGGGGAAGAGTTTCCTTTTCTATTAGTTTATATTGAGTTGTCATAGCACATACTGCTTGGTATTTTCCTTCTGAATTTTTGGCTTAAGATCCATCAAAAAAAAGTATTAGACCAGAACTATATAATGGAGCATCCTATAAATCAGTGTGAGGGGTCAATAGCTATGATTTCACATTTACACCATTGTGGTCCTCATCATCACTAGAAAAGGATGGTAAAGTAGCAGGATTAAGTAGTTTGCAGTATTTTAGATGGAGACTATGAAGAGGCAGAAGAATAATTTCTCAAGATGTTAGTCTGCTTGTTGAGAAATCTTGAGTTTGAATGAAATTTAATGGTCTTTCCACAACATGTGGAGCTTGAAAATAAAGTTTATGTCCTAAAACTAGCTCTGGTGAAACCTCTACCAATCTGACTGCTGCTGCTACTGCCTTTAATCAATAGCTGCTGAGTCTAATTGCAGGCTATAATAAATGATGGATGGGTCTGTGTTTTCCTCCATGTTTTTAGCAAGAACTCCTAAAGTTGGCTGTCAGGTTCATAAATAAGCAAGGTGAAAGGTTTGATGTAATTTGAGAGTTCTGAGATGAGAAGTTGTTGTAGGGCCAGTTTTTATTGGCTGAAGGCCTGCTCATGGTTGTTCTCCCAAGGTAAAGACTCTGGGACAAAGTATTTTGTAAATTAATAAAAGGGAGGTGCCAAACAAAAAAATTTGGACCCAAGACTTACAATACCTACAAGTCCAAAGAAACGCTTAATTGTCTTTTAGTCATGGTTCTTAGGAAACTTTCAAGTGAGAGGGAGTTCCTTCTGCAGTCAGATTATTTCCCAAATAATGAACCTTTTTTTTTCTGGAAAACTGTAGCTTTCCCATAGAAGCCTTATGCCCTTTGTAAGCTAGTTGTTGTAGTAAGTAAGTTGAATCTATTCCTGGACCTTCTTTAGTAAGAGAGCACAGCAGTAGATCATCTACTTATTCATTAAGAGTAGAATTCCTGGCTGGGCACGGTGGCTCATGCCTGTAATCCCAGCATGATTTGGGAGGCCGAGGTGGGTGGATCACGAGGTCAGGAGATCGAGATCACCCTGGCTAACACAGTGAAACCCTGTCTCTACTAAAAGTACAAAACATTAGCCGGGCGTGGTGGCGGCCACCTGTAGTCCCAGCTACTCAGGAGGCTGAGGCAGGAGAATGGCATGAACCCAGGAGGAGGAGCTTGCAGTGAGCCAAGATGGTGCCACTGCACTCCAGCCTGGGCTACAGAGAAAGACTCCGTCTCAAAAAGAAAAACAAAAAAACAACAACAAGAGTAGAATTCCTAGGGAATTTAAGTTTGCCAAATCCTGATGCAATATCTGAGAAAAATAGGATGGCACTTCAGTAAACCCCTGTAGCATTACAATCAAAATACACTGTTGATTTTCCCAAGTAAAGACACGTAAGTACTGACTCTATCAACTGGAGTACTAAAGAAGGCTGAGCAAAGACTCACTACTGTCAAACATTTCGAATGTGTGGTTACATTAGACAAAAAAAATAGAGTTTGGAACCACTGGAAATCTTGGTATTACAATCTTATTTACTATATGGAAATCTTGAACAATTTCATCCATTGAGTTTTTAACTGGTAGGAGTGGAGTGTTATAAGGGCTAGTGCAAGAAATCGTAAGTCTTTATTTAAGTCCTTTATGATGGTGAGAACTACTAAATAGCTACTGGTTTTAGTGGGCATTGAGGCAATTTAGGTAGGGGCTTACAATAATCTACTAGGATTTTTATAAGTTCAGCACCTTTAATTTTTCCTGTTTCAGTTGAAGAAGCCCACAAATACTTAGGTACTTCAGAAAGGTCAGGGTTTATATAGGTTTGAGCTTCCATGTTACCTACATGTTATGCCTATAGGAAACAGAAAAATTCAGGTTTAGAAGAGTTAGGAAATTTGAAGATTCTATCTCCTTCTGAAGAAAATTTTATGTGACTACTTGATTTCGAGAGCAAGTCTTGTCCCAGTAGATGCATTGAGGCAGTATCATGTAGTAAGAAGATATGTTCTTCTGAAAATGGTCCAAGTGTCAATTGGACAGGTTCAGACATAGGGACCTATTGCACTTGATTTCAAACCCCACCACAGAAACATTCTCTTTACTTTGAGGGATTCATTGATTTATGAGGATGGGGTTTAAAGTAGATAAATTTTCTATCAATAATGTACAATATTCCCCCATTAATCTTAATCTTAGTTTTGTTTTGTTCATTCAGAGGTATTATGCGAGGCAGTTTAGGGGAGAATTTCTTGAAGCCCTATCAGTGTTGGTGATTATTCTGGGAGTCAAACCCCAGGGGGCTTCCTGAAGTAGAGAAAGTCTCGGCAAAAATAAATGGGTGTATCAGATGGCTAGTGTCAGAGTGGACAGTTTCTGTTCCAGTGGCATGGCTGTTTACAGTAAAGACATCTCAATCCACAGGTTTCTTAAGTTTGGGACCTCTTGATTTTGATTTACAATGCACACAAAGAAATCCTCTTGGTTCCTGTAGTTGTTGTAACTGTAAAGACATGAGCCTATTTGCCTTTTGATTATTCCCTTATTCTAGAATCTTCTCAAAATGTTCGGCTAGGGTACAAAATGTTCAGCTAGGGACACTAATTCAATCATATATATATAATTTCCCATCCTGGTTTATGTTTTCTAATTAAGCCACTAAATTCAGGGCAAAGTCCATTTATGAACAGAGCAATTAAGGCTATTTCAATCCTTGTAGAAAACATCCCTTGTTGTATTTCAAGCCTGAAGAGTATGTGTGTGTGTGTGTGTGTGTGTGTGTGGTGTGTGTGTGTGTGTGTGTGTGAATGTGTTTTGTTTGGTTGGTTGGTTTTGAGACAGGGTCTCACTCTGTCACCCAGCCTGGAGTACAGTGGCTCGATCTCAGTTCACTGCAACCTCTGTCTCCTGGGCTCAAGCAGTCCTCCTGCCTTAGCCTCCCAAGTAGATAGGACTACAGGTGCATGCCACTAGGCCCAGCTATTTTTTGTAGTTTTTGTAGAGATGGGGTTTCACCAGATTGCCCAGGATAGTCTTGAACTTTTGGGCTCAAGCAACTCACTGGCTTCGGCCTTCCCAAGTGCTGGGATTACAAGTATGAGCCACCACACCTGGCCCCCTGGCCCCCTGGCCCCCTGGCCCCCTGGAATGTTAAATAAATATTATTTCTAAACAGACTGTAATCTGAAACCAGTTCAAACTTGTTCATCCTGTTTTTTTTTTTCTATAAGATTGTATGATGGACCAATCAATCTGGAAAATTCTTAGGAACTGAATATAAAAGATTTTCAGCAATTATTTCCAGCTCCTTTTGGCCCTCCTCTCAAGGAGATATTCTAGGGGTCTTTAATATTCTTGAGTTTTTCCGATTCCACTTCTACCATCTGTTTGTGAGTTTCACAGGGTCCCAATATCATATGAATAAATTGATAAAGATCAGGGATTCCTGGATCATATGCTCCAATAAGGATTCTGACTTTTTCAGTAAATTTCTAGAGGTTTTCCTCTGGGTTAGGGAAGTCTTTTGCCATGGCTGTAAGCTCAGTTTTAGAACATGGAGTAAAGGTGGTTACAGAAGGCAGGCCTGACTGATCAGAAGATTTCACTTTGTAAGGCATTTGTTTGACTTCCTTTTGGCCATTATCTTCAGGGTAAAAAGGTAGTTGAGCAAAAGGGTTAGTGGACTCAGAATATATAGGTAAGGACAAAGTGAATGAATAGTCAGGGTTAATTCAGTCAAGGTACAGTCCTTTTATGTAATGTTTTCAGTTTGTTGCTTAAGCTTTTCATTTGCCTTAGAGAAGGAAGATTTTAGAAAGGCAATTTTTGATTCATTTAATCTGGTAGACGTTTCTGCGTACCAATTGAAAAATATATCACATTGCTTTTGAGGAGTTTTGGATCCTTTCTTTTTTAATGTGCCCCACAAGTGACCAGTTTTACCTAGGTTAAGACCTTCTTGGCTGGGCACAGTGGCTCACACCTATAATCCCAGCATATTGGGAGGTCAAGGCCAGCAGATCACTTGAGGCCAGGAGTTTGAGACTAGCCTGGCCAACATGGCAAAACCCCATCTCTACTAAAAATACAAAAATTATCTGGGCATGGTAGCACACACCTGTAATCCCAGCTACTTGGGAGGCTGAGGCAGGAGAATATCTTGAACCTGGGAGACAGAGGTTGCAGTGAGCTGACATCACATCACTGCACTCCAGCCTGTGCAACAGAATGAAGTTCTATCTCTAAACAACAACAAAACCAACAATGATGGACTGGATTAGGAAAATGTGGCACATATACACCATGGAATACTATGCAGTCATAAAAAATGATGAGTTCATGTCCTTTGTAGGGACATGGATGAAATTAGAAATCATCATTCTCAGTAAACTATCGCAAGAACAAAAAACCAAACACCGTATATTCTCACTCATAGGTGGGAATTGAACAATGAGAACACATGGACACAGGAAGGGGAACATCACACTCTGGGGACTGTTGTGGGGTGGGGTAGGGGGTAGGGATAGCATTGGGAGATATACCTAATACTAGATGACGGGTTAGTGGGTGCAGTGCACCAGCTTGTCACATGTATGCATATGTAACTAACCTGCACATTGTGCACATGTACCCTAAAACTTAAAGTATAATAATAATAATAATAAAAACCTTCTTATTGTGGCTACTCTGATACTCTAATTCTAAATTATCTTTGATAAGCTTAATCCATTTTTCTAAAAATATACAAATTATGGGTCTATAATTCTTATACATAATATTTGTTGGAGTCCCAGAAAGTAGAGTATCAGACTCCTTTGATTCAGAAAAACCTGTTATCAAAAAATACCTTTTCAAGGCCTTTAACTGAATTTCATCCAGTTAATCATTGAATCCAATCTGATTCTGGACCCTGTCCATTCTAAGAATTGGTCAGATGAAGTCCAGAGAGTTCAAAACACAATCAGTGTAACTCAGTCTACCACTGCCTTCAGTTACAAACAAGAGAGCAGTGAGCACGGTGGATTCCCAGGGCACCTCACCTGGTCACTTAGTCTTACTAGGGATCATCAGAGATCTCCTTTGAATCTCACTTATACATCAAAACTGATAAAAGAAAAACTTTAGACAAAATGAATATAATAGAGTTTATTTGAGCAAAGGATAATTCATGAATTATATAGTACTCAGAATAAAAAGATTTTCAGAGTGCTTCACTGCAGCAGCATGGGCAAGGAGCTTTATGTTGAGGGAAGACAAATAAAATGTGCTTGATTGGCTTAGAGTGGCAAGATCCTAGTCAGAGATTGGATAGCAGTTTCTGATTGGTAAAGTTTCTAGTTTCATTTTACTATTTATACTGGGCTCTGGTTTGCTTCCATAGGAACCTAAAGCACCGGGACTGTCTCAGTCTAATGGCCTCTCTGTTAGGATTTTTTAAATAGGATTTCAATTTGTATCAGTCTTATGGAGTTCATTCTAATTGTATATATTAACAATTTCAGTACTGGCTGACTTAGCATGAAAATCTGCCAAAGCATTTCCTTGGTTTCAATGAATTCTTGTTCTGCTTGACATTTGGTTAGCAGTTTTATAAAATTAGTTTCTTCATTAGGTTCTAGGAATTCTTACCCAGTACAATGGTATGATCAGATTTTTAGAAATTTCATACAATTTCGAGAACACATACTACTCACACATCTATACAAATATAACGCAAAGTTTAGTATCACTTATTAGTTGACAATGCTTTTCGTATAGTTTAATATACCAAGTAAGCCCAACTAGTTAACACCTCTCTTTTTATAAGGAGAGAGACAAATCTCTTTGAGAAGTTCCAAGGGCTTATTGGGAAAATCCCAAAGTTAATTTGAGATCAAGAAGAGAATTTAAAATTTTATTTGAAGGAGTTTGTCAAAAATATCAAAGCTTTAAACATTTGATTAAAATAGCATTACAGGTTACTATGAAATAATAGTCATTTATTTAACCAGTGATAATTAAATATTTCAAAGGCAATCACAGGAAGTTTCATAGTTATAGGATAAACCTTAAGTTTTTAATAGAGACAACACTAAGCACAGGAAATCATCTTGATAAACCCCAGAATCTTTGTTTTCTAGGCCAATTACTTAAAAGATAAAGAAAAAATTCTCACAATTTCCTATTAAGAGCAGATCAGTACTCCAAAAACTTGTTTTAGCACAGGAGACCAAATTCTAATTTTGCATCAGTGTCCTTTTTATATTAATGCTCAATTTTTAGAAAACTCATCAATAGTTTCTTTCTACTATTATAGCCAGCTTGATCACACATAAAATTCCTTTCAAAAGATTACACTTTCAGAAAATTTCTGCAGCCTTCTTATATCCCTTCATACTTTTTTTCTATAATTTTGTTATTTAGTTATTTGTTATTTGTTCTATACTTTTTCTCTTTCTCATTTTAGAACAACCAGTGAATCTAATTTAGGACAAAAAAATACTCTTGTTTTCTCTTAACAAAAACACATCTTCCAAACCTCATAGCCTCACTTACCAAAAACATATCTCACTTTCCTCACATGTAGAGTTGTTTCCCTTATATTGTTTCTAATTTTAATGACCATACCTGTTGATTAGAATTTGTAACTCTTAGTAATGTTAATTTATAGTGAAAACCCAGGAAGTAAAGCAATTTTGAATTTTCATATATGAACATTTTATGAATATACATTTTATAATTTCTAAAAATATGTGCTTCCTCCTAGAACAATTTTTCATGTTTGCTAACAGACTGAAATATATTTAACTTTTCTATATCATAAAAAAACAAGATGCTGAAAATTATATACTTAAAACTTGTTCAGCAATTACTGTTTCAGTATTTTAACTTACTTCGAAATGACTCAGACATTTCACAAATATCCATTACTTAATTTAACATAATATACTTCAAAATTTCAAATTTCTGAAAAAGATTTTTTAAACCATGATTGGTTTATTGAAAAACTTTGACCAGGTGCGGTGGCTCATGCCTGTAATCCCAGCACTTTGGGAGACCGAGGTGGGTGGATCACCTGAGGTCAGGAGTTCAAGACCAGCCTGGCCAACATGGTGAAACACCATCTCTACCGAAAGTACAAAATGTAGCTGGGTGTGGTGGCACATGCCTATAATCCCAGCTACTTGGGTAGACTGAGGCAGGAGAATCATGTGAACCCAGGAGGCGGTGGTTGCAGTGAGCCGAGGTCATATGACTGCACTTCAGCCTGGGCAACAGAATGAGACTCTGTCTCAAAAAAAAAAAAAAAAAAACTTTGATGCCACATTCACGTAATGTACTTGTTCTTAACAATTATGCTTACATTGCTCATTAAACAAAGCTAGCCTTTGAAGGATTTAGTAAAATATCACCCCAAAATTTATATATTGGTTTACATATTTTTGGTATATTGATTACTTTCTAGTGCTGAAAGCACTTGAAAACAGCAAAATGCATAGGCTTTCTGAGTGCCCTCCATTTGCCTAAAGAGATCCTACAAAAGGAACTAAATTGCTATTAATTGTCCAAAGATTAACTTTTATCACAGAAGAGGAGGTTAGAGGTCCACCACAGCCAAACAGACCTTATCACAAACCATCATCTATTCTTCTAAGGGCCCATTCATCTTTTCAAAAATCATTTAATCTGAGGATATCTTTTTGCTTCACCCCTGACCATCGTATCCATTCTAGCAGCAGAGTTGAGGCAAGGAACAGTCCTGTCCCAGCACATATGCTAACTTGTGTGGTTTAGCTAATTTCCAAGAAGGACATCTCCAAAAGTGAGGGAGGTTCATCAGATAATCTCCAAGATCTAATACTCTGTTTTCTTCTCTCTCCCCAGGCATCCTTTTTTTCCCTTTTGCTGTTCTGTGTGTGTGGGATCTACAGCTCTGTTGTGTTAAAGTAGAAACTTTAGACAAATTAAATCTAACAGTTTAACTGAGCAAGGAACAATCCATGAAGTACATAGCCCTAAGAATCAGAAGAGGTTCAGAAAGCTCCACTCCACAATGTGGACAGAAAATGGAAGTTAAATACAGAAACAGCTTGATTGGTTGGGATTTGCATTTGTCTCACTTGGCCGTGGCCTGATTGGTTGGCCACCTGTGATTGACTGAAGCTTGGCTACTGTGATTGGCTGAGACTCAGCTATTTATTTTAAAAGCATACTGCTGTGTAGTGAGCTGAGATCACGCCACTGCACTCCAGCCTGGGTGACAGAGTGAGACTCCATTCTCAAAAAAAAAAAAAAAAAAAAAGTATACTGCTGCGTTAGACTTCCAGTTAATTTCTGTACTAAGTTAGGTTGCAGTTTGTTACGTGTGGGCTCAAATATGGGTGTGTCTTCAGTCCAAATTTAGTTTAACACTTGGTAAGGTTTTAAGTAATCCCTTGGTTTTTAGCCTCATATCGCACCTCAATCATCCACACTCTCTGATTCTACAAGGACCAAATCTTTTTATGTTTTTGTCAGGCAACTTGGCTTTTTTCTGGCCTTTCCCCCTTCTATGTCCATTCTGAGTTTTGACTTCTACTTCTCTTTAACATTTTCTCTATCTGTTCAAAAGAATTTCCGAAATTGTAATGAGAGCTGCCATTCAGAGCCTTCAGAGATGATCCTTTCCCTATTCCCTCTTTCTCTCTTTTTATTTTTTGAGACAGAGTTTCCCTCTGTCGCCCAGGCTACAACCTCTGCCTCCTGGGTTCAAGCGATTCTCTCACTTCAGCCTCCCAAGTAGCTGAGGCTACAGGTGTGTGCCACCATGCCCAGCTAATTTTTGTATTTTTAGTAGAGATGGGGTTTCATCATGTTGGCCAGGCTGGTCTCAAACTCCTGACCTCAAGTGATCTGCCTGCCTTGGCCTCCCAAAGTTCTGGGATTACCTGCATGAGCCATTCTTTTTTTTGTGGTAAGTTTTATTATCATTATTATACCATTCCAATGATTTCAGCACTATTTCTGGACACAAATGAGATAAATACATGCAGGGCTACACTATGTTGTAACCTTGGGAAAGTAAGCTGGGGGTGGAGATTGTTGATAAGTCAGAGTGAAAGACAGATAATATAAATAGAATGTTCCAAAGGAGGTGCAGATCCGGAGGGGCTCATAAATTGCTGGAGGAAGGTCATCAAAAGAGGAAGGGAGAGTTATGATGAACCACCATAGAATAAACATATAGACTTTTTGCACTGTGGAAGTAGATTTGAGAAGGTAAAGTCATTTATTAACTCAACAAATATTTACTGAGTGCCTATTATGTGTAAACTCTACCCTGGCTGCTGATGTTCTGATGACCAATAGGTACAACTTCTGTCTTTTGTCTGCTCATGACATTGAAGTAAAGTCAGAGACTACTCAAACAAAGAAACCCACCAACAAACAGATAGAAGTACAACACAGTAAGTGCTGAAGACAAGGCAGCAGAAGTTAGAAACAGCTAATTGACCACATTGAAAGAGAAAATCATGTACCACATATTCTGGTTAATATATTGTAGAGTGGATATCAACTATTTTTAAACGAATCAGGGGGTTGAAAAATACTCATTGGAATATGGTTTCTATGATACATCCAATCTAAGATTAATATGAGATACATAATTCCAAGAATCATGTTTTGGGTATCCCATTATTAGAAATATGAGATGCAGAGCTTTAGAAAAGAGTTAGTTATGGTTAGGATTTATTCCATGGGAAAGACAGTAAACAAGAGGCATGAAGTATAATTATGCACCAACTGTAACAGCTTAAGGCATGGCCAGTGCTCTGTGTTGGGATGAACTTTAATGTAAAGGTACCTTATAGGGGTTGGGGGCCCAGGTGCTCTTTGATTTAGAGGAACACATATTTCTCAAAGGGTAGACTCTCCTGAAATATTCACAAATAGATCATAACTGCTTATATCTAGGCTTTGAAATAATGGGGTTTTGCCTATCTGTAGACAGGATGTTCTGGGAGGAAGATAGCAGCATTAACCTCAGGATTTCTCTACCTCTTACCATACCATTATTAACATACGCAATCTCCTTTATCCTGTAATTGGAAAGAGACCACAGAGCACCATAACCATGTCTCCCATCCTCTTCAAATTCTTTCCAGTGGTCAGGAGGATGAAGCCATGAAATAGAAAACATTTACTTCCAGGCACTGCCTTTATTCAATTTTAATAAGAAATTGTTACCAGGCACGCCATGCTGGTATTAATTTCAAATTAAAACTTAGACTATGTATGACCTCTTTAAACAGCTATTTTCCAATTCGTTTATTTTGGCTGTAATTATGACTGATTGCTCAATTCTTACTGGAATAGCTATGTGTAGTTTCATTTTAGTTGAAGCTTTTACAGTAATAACTGGGGAATATTTTCTACATAAATGTATAAGATACCTGTTTTTTACCTTATAGTTAAAAGATGACAGACTTGAACATCTGATGTACTTCTCCTTACTGCATTGTAAAATTAATTTGTCTTTTCATGTGGCTACATCTAGGCAGTTTCAACAATTTGAACTTTGTTTTATATAAGAAATAAAGGAAAATAATCAGCCATGAAGTAGTTAATTTATTGATATTTTATGTATGTGTGTGTGTCTATACATACACAGTCACATATATAAACATGCTCAGAAGTCAGAATAAAAGTATTCCTTGATAAGACATTAAAATACAAAGCCATATCGAGGTGTGCATCACATCCCCATTTAAAAAAATCAGACCCCTGCATTTTCTTTTGCACATTGATACTAGAAAAAGAACTTCATTGATTGTTTTTATTATGTTAAAAGTCTCAGCCTTTCTTCTTGACACTGTATTCTATTTAAGCCCATCCTTTGTCATCCCAAAGAAATCCATTTTAAATATTGTTTTGGAAGCTAGATTTCTGATGCATTCTACTTCTACTAGACCTTATTTTTGTGTGTGTGATGTACTGCACAAAATTGTCTATTGATATGAAGCAGGCGTTGGAACGATTTTTCAGCTTTGATCACTAGAATGAATCGATTTTTAACAAACCCTCGGTGTGGCAGCAGTTGCTGATGTTGTGTGTCTAACAACTTCATTGAAGGGCTGCATTTGATTTGCTATTGCTAAGTGCTGTCTTTCAATGAGCTTGTCTGTGAAGACTTCCTCAACTAACTGAAGGTCGTTTATCAGGTTAGAAAATGCTGTTAAATGTTATTTACTGATTAAAATATAATTATAGGCAGTCTCCATTACACAGAATCATCAATTTGCCATTAGTGCTACTTGGTGTAAGCTTTAAAAATGCTAATGAAACTGAAAACTAGCTTTCCAGCTGAACATGCTGATTACACTAAAAAGGTATTTGTTCACTTTGAATGTGCAAGGTTAGTGACAAAATCCACTGTGGTGTTACTTTTTTCTTAGTGCTTACTATTTTTTGTGTTCAGCCAGTAGACTAGATTATAAGGCATTGTTGTCTTCACAGAAGAACCATGCAATCAAAAGTCTCCAAAACTGTGAGCATTCTAACAACTGGAAACATGAAATTATAACACCACTGACTATTTATGTCCCATATGTGAGCTACACCATGGGGCAATATGCTAAGGTAAAGAAATAATTGTTGTCACTGGATTCCCGAAAATAGCAATATAATTGCTTGATCTGCAATGAGATTGTCAGTCCTTCCTCTTTTAATCCTTATTTGATTTCTACAGCCACTTAACAAGCCAAACTGTGTAAAATGTCAATAAAGACAAAGTCTTTATTTTTTTAAGAATTCTCATTAATATTACTGAAAGCTTATTCATCAAACTATTTTACTCCATTATCATAATCTGTTAGGAAGTAGGAAGTAATGCATTAGGAGACTTATGTGTATAAGTAGTGTGAGTGTATATATGTAATATTAACTCTTTGAAGCATGGAGTTTGTTTTTCTAAAACAAAGTTTTTAGCCTAGTTTTTAGGTATCTTAGCATTGTCCTTTTCTTGTTGGATTCCACTAAGAATTTAATGTCCTTTAAATATATTGACAGCATGACCCAAGAATATTCATGATTTCCTCTTCCCTTTTAAAATATAAACTTTAACTTTTTTCACTAATCTAGAGATTTTCATTTTGACCCAAGACTGACAATTTTAAGAGGATTTTTGACAGCTGTGACTGTCAAGAACAGAACAGGATAAATGATTAAACTGGGTAAATCCAAAAAACCAACTGCCCATAGCAAAAAATATATGTGTGTGTGTATATATATATATATATATATATATATACACACACACATATATATTTATTTCTGGTTTTTAGAAATAAATATGTCAAACGAATATAATTGTATTTGTCCTGAGCCCCCTTTCCTGAGAGGATTGAGTTCTAACTGCTTATCAGCCATTGTTCACTGCCATGCAAGGATTTAGAAGAGAGAGGAAACAAACATTCTATAGTTTCATAGGCATTGATCCGTATAAAAATTTACTCTCCCATTAAAATAGTTTAAATTACTAAAAAGAAACTAAGATCATAGTGAACTTTGAGTTTTATTTTACAGTCAAATTATGAATGGGAATCAGATAATGGCATTTATTTATTTATTTATTTATTTATTTATTTATTTATTTGAGACAGAGTTTCACTCTTGTCTCTCAGGCTAGAGTACAGTGGCGCGATCTCTGCTCACTGCAACCTCCGCCTCCCAGGTACAAGCGATTCTCCTGCTTCAGCCTCCGGAGTAGCTGGGATTACAAGCATGCGTCACCAAGCCCAACTAATTTTGTATTTTTAGTAGAGATGGGGTTTCTCCATATTGGGCAGGCTGGTCTTGAACTCCCAAGCTCAGGTGATCCTCCTGCCTTGGCCTCCCAAAGTGCTGGGATTACAGGCATGAGCCATTGCACCTGGCCTAATGGCAATTTCTTTTTTCTTTTTTTTTTCCTTTTTTTTTTTTTTTTTTTTTGAGACGGAATCTCGCTCATTGCCCAGGCTGGAGTGCAGTGGCTCGATCTCGGCTCACTGCAAGCTCTGCCTCCTGGGTTCACGCCATTCTCCTGCCTCAGCCTCCCAAGTAGCTGGGACTACAGGCGCCTGCCACTGTGCCCAGCTAATGTTTTTTTATTTTTATTTTTATTTTCGTATTTTTAGTAGAGATGGGGTTTCACCGTGTTAGCCAGGATGGTCTCGAATTCCTGACCTCAAGTGATCCACCCATCTCGGCCTCCCAAAGTGCTGAGATTACAGGCATGAGCCACCATGCCTAGCTGGTAGTCTCTTTTTTATTCACCAAATCACAGATGCTTATTGATTTACCACTTACCACTTTTATCACATCTTAGTCTAAAATTAGACACTTCCTTTAAGTTTTTTATTTCCCTTTATTCTTCTTTGGGAGAGGAAAAATAGTTTGTCCCAATTGTCACATGTTTGAAGACTATCTTTTCTTGAATAATTTTCTCAGAAAACACAGAAAATTTCCATCACTCCTTTAAAATGGCAATTATATCTTACTCTCTGAAGACTTGTTAGAATAAAAGATTCCTGACAGCTGATTAGGAAAGTGACATATATTTTACTTCCTTTCAGATGAAACCTTCTAAAAATGTATTTACTTACCAGGGGCAGTGACAGCCTGTCTGGCAAAAATAATTGATATCCTTTCTGGTTATTGTAGAAGGGGAACAATGAAACAAGAAAGACCTTGCTCCTATCTTCAGAGATGAATAAACTGGAAGAAACTCATTGTCATTAAATTAAAATTTTCTTTTAGGTACATCTGGCCGTTGACACATTCTTGTATAATGTTAGTAACTCTGCCTCATCAGGCTTGGTGTAGTATTTTCAAAACATGCATATTCTGCCTTTGAGATAAGGTAAAAAATATCTGAAATATCTGGAAGTCAGGAAGTTTATATATTACCATATACCCCTGAAATATCATAGAAGTTAAATATAGTTTGACTTCAATAATCAGATTAATATATACAAGAGTCTTTTGAAAGGATGTTCACTTTTGAATAAAATTTGAGCTGGAATGCTGGTTCTAGTATTCATAAGCTAAATGATCATAAGGAAGTTACTCCTTTTGAATTTTTACTTTTGACATATGTAAAATAGATAAGGCTATAGTGCTTCCTTTTCTGTAGTCACGCATAAGAAATTTTATAAATATTATTAATTATGATGGGGTAGCCTTAAATGTGGTTTCGATACTTATCTTTACAAAACGCAAGAATAAAAACAGCAACTTCTAAGAAAGGATCTCTCTCTTCTGCTTTAAGAAACAAATTAAACCTGCTTGTTACTAGTATATTAATGATTTATTTTTAAAGGGCTACAGCCAAAGATGTTACAATTGTTCTTTTAAGCACCATTATTTTCAGAGAAATATTTACATTAATTTTTAAAGATGTTGCTGTAAACCCCCCTTTTTTCTTAGCACTTTAACCCCATCTAGATCAAACTATTATCTGCAGATGTATTGATGTATATGCTTTCTTGGCTTTTGGACTGCCATCACAACTCAGCGTTTCTCATTTATAACTTGGTACAGAGAGGTTATTCATTAATCTAGAACTATAACTAATTCATGGCAAACTTGGGAACCAGGATCTGAGCTACTACTCTGCCAAATTCCATATTTTTAAGCATTATAGAATATCCTTATTTTTATAGTAAAACATTCTACTATACATAAATCAGTATGTGGCTGATGCCACAGAACACAGTCATGGGGCATCTGTAGAAGTCATGCTTTGTTGACCTAATGGAATCTCTGTCTTCAGAGAAGTAAAAACTTGGTTGTTTCTGTAGGTTATAAAGTTCCAAGCCATTGCTTGCCACCTGAGAGCATTAATTCCATTATATTGGTTGTTTCCATAGTTAAGGAGTGGCTTGTTAGAGTGCTAACTGTCTATGTCTCTTCCCCAGGCCATTAGGTAATAAATTGGATATAATATATAATTTTTAAGTTTTTTCAATAATGAAAGATATTATGTAAAATTCTCTGCACTCAAATGATCTTCAGCCATCTCATATAATCTCATTTTCTGACCTGTGAAAACTACAAAAGCTCCCAGGTTTTTAGAAGAGACTCCATTTTGCCACTAGGCTTGTCACTTCTCTCCTTTTAGAATGTTTGACTTTGGGAACTCATAAATAGGCTTTTTTTACTTGCTTAGATGAATGTTTTATTAAATTTGACCTTGAGTCCTTTAACTTCTAAATAGCAGTCTAATTTTTAATGACTCTTGAGAGATCAATAGCTTTTCTAAAATTTTATATTGTTATGCTAATAACTTTTCCATGTGTATTCTTTATAATCTTGATGGTTAATATTATAAATCATAAATTTATTAAAACATTAAATACTGACATTGATTTTTAAGATCCAATGGATTAGAATTTCATATTTTTCAGCATATTATAACATAAAATACATTGCTATATTTTGTCACTTACTTTGCATTATTGTTTGTCTCATTATGAAATTTAGTACTGTTTGTCTCATTTGTGAATTGAGGTAACTGAAGTGAGGAGGTTGACCTGACCAATGAAAGGTCCTATAACTAGTTAGTGAAAAAACAAAGCAAATATGTGTTAGAATGCCATCTCCACTGTTAAATACTGACAGTAATACATAGTTCCTATTAACAGGGTAATTTGTATCTAGTAGATCAAGTTTTATTCCTTGACAATTATGCCCTTTATTGTTTCCTGATAACATAAAAGGTTCATGCTGCTGATGAATTTTGCAAATAGTATCTGTCCAGTGTACCGAATTTTCAGATTTAGAATCTGCCCCATAGCAGTTACAAGCATTCTGTGCTACTACATGAAAAAAGTGTGAATGAGTATTTCTTGAACAATAACAGATTTCAGTTGAAATGTTAGATGAATATACACAAAACAATTCCATTTAATCACTTAGACTAGAGCAAATTCTAAAGCATCCATTATATTCCCAGTCAAAATTCGCTACGTTATTTTATTTCTCCTTTGGGAGAACAATGTAATTTCCATCATTGCAGATTCTCAAAATAAATTATAGTTGAAAAAGCCACAGAGTTTCCAACCAAACTTTCACCAGCCTATTGCATCCCCCTTGTTTTGGTGGAGAATCAAAGAAGGGAAACTGTATTTCCAGTGGAGAAGCCACAATAAAGCCTTTATGTAGAAGCCAAAGTTAAAATGATGCCAACAGGCAGATGGAAACCAAGTCTGAATGAGGAAATTCTGAGCCAGGCATCTTGCTGTGGCTGTAATGTAGCCCGGTTGTGCCCTGATTTCTCTGTCCTTATTACTGGGATTGCAGTTACTTATGAATTGAATTCCCACGTAGTTATCTTGCTGTTATTGTAAAATGCCACATGATATTTTGTGCTAAGTCAATAAATGCCTCATGCCAACACTGTGTTTATTTTGGGTTTGTAATCTCTGTGCTTTTACCCTTTTTCTGACATTTTCCAAGTCTCTCTCTGCAAATCAGCTGGCCATGAAGCAGAGCTTCCTTTCAGCAATTGACAGTCTGCTGCTGCAGACCTAACCACCAATTCACACCCCAGGGGACTATCCACCCCAGGAAGAGATTTGCTCTCAGTCCTCTGACACCTCAGTTAGTTTAAAAATTACTCCTAGAATTTAGACTTCTTGCAGGTAATTCTTAGAGAAACATAAAAAGAAATTGGTTGTTTGAAGTGTAGGTTTAAAAATAAAGAAAAGCAATAAAGCAGGATCATTTGAATTGGAAAAATATAGGAGATTTCAAAGAGGTCATTGGATACATTTTTTAATTCATTGACTTTCAAACACTTTTGAGCATGATCCACAATATGAAATACAGTTTACAGTGTTACTTATTATATATCCATATATACATGATAATTGAAACCAGTTTTATCAAACAATACTTACCTAGTATTATATAGGATTGTCAAAGTATAATATTAAAAAGTTAAAATATTCTTATAGGTGATGCTTATGCTTCAACTTGACTGGATTAAGGGATGCCTAGGTAGCTGGTGAAACATTGTGTCTGGGTCTGTCTGTAAGGGTGCTTCTGGAAGAGATTAGCATTTGAATCAGTAGACTACTCACTAGATTCAAGAATATTTGCTCTCACCAGTGTAGGCAGGCATTATTCAGCCAATCCATTGAGGGAACAGGTAAAACAAAAAGGCAGAGAAAGGGTTTATTCTCTCCCTTTCTCTCTCTTCTTCAGTTGGAAGATTCATCTTCTCCTGCCTTTGGACACCAGAGCTCTTAGTTCTCAGGCCTTTGGACTCTGGGACTTACACCAGTGCCCCCACCACTTCCCCTGCACTCCTTCATTCTCAAGCCTTTAGCCTTGAAGGTGAATTACACTATTGGCTTTTCTGATTCTCCAGCGTGTAGACAACATATTACGGGATTTCTCAGGCTCCATAATCTCATCAGTCAATTCTCATTATAAATATCCTCTTCTCATACCTATATGTATTCTATTAGTCATATTTCTCTAGAAAACCCTGACTAATACATCATAGAAAAGTAAAATGAGCACATCCAGAATTTTATTTAACTTACTAATAAGACATCCAATAGGATTTTAAGATTATAAGATTATTTGAAGTGCTAGATGTTTATGAACAATTTAATGAAAAGATATTAAGATTACTAGGTTAGATAGAAAACTGATTAATGTACTAAAGGACAATTAACCATAAAATTTAGTGTTATCTATTTACTGGACAGAAATAATTTGCATCTATACTTAATAAAAATGTATAATTTAACATGCATTTTTACTAAATCTTGGATTCTTTATTAGTAGTGAGTCAAACTAAGTTCATTTCCCTGAATAATTCTTGGTTGTAACAATAATGGGCCATATGAGCCAGTAATGCCCATGGGTGATATAGAAAGATATACTGCCCAACTTTTTAACTTCTTTCTTCCAAATTTGACTAATTTTTTAAATAGAATGTGTTCCAATATTTTCTATTACAGTCTGTTGTATTCGGGTCTATTTCATTTTTCAAAATACTGGTACAGCTCACTAAATTATCTTCATAAGCCGTAGTAGGTTATGACCCAACTTAAATGATACTACAATATAAAAATATCATGACTGCAAATACTGCCTAAGAGAGGCAAGTTTTTTTCTCCATGTTAAGAATAAAAAATTAACAAGAAAAAAGAGAAGGGTGGGGAGGGAGAAAGAGGAGAAGCAAGGAGAGAAGAGAGCCCCAGCAATCTATCTTCAGGGATGTCAGCATTTTTTAAAGTGATAAGACTTTTTATAAAAGTCACATTTCTTTTCCCTCACAGAGCACAAATTTTGTTTACGTTGCAACTGAGGCTCTTTTTCTCCTATTTAGAGGGGAATTTAGACAATTTGTAGAGATTTGCAGCTGTGAGAGAAGATTTTTTTAGAACTACTATTTCATTATACAGGTTAGCAAACTGACTTAAAAGTAAGATGACCTGCTTCAACACCCAGAAATTCCATAGGGAAGTCCCTGCGTGTAACTATGTATGAGGAGAACAGTCCCTGGACTCAGGAAGGTGTGGGCCTCAGTTGTGAGTGAGTCACCAGATAGGAAACTTCAGGCAAAGCCATTATATTTCTGGTCTGAATTACCACATCTCTAAAATGGGACAAAAGCCATTATTAAGATTAAAAGATGAACTATACATGAATGTCCTTGTAAAACTGAAAATGTAGTTTTAATTATTTCCGAGATTTTTATCCAGTGCACGTTTTCCCATCCCTGGATATCCTGTAATACATAAAATATAGATGATGGACTATTTGCATATACTTAGAGTCATTGAGATCATATGTACAAGGTCTAGGCAAGTCTAGTTAGTTTTATAAGTACATTCTCTGTTCTACATACAGGTCCATATTTAAATATACAAAGATGTGATAGCTATTATTACTAATAGATCATCACTGTAAAATGCTCTAAAATTTCCAAGTTAAAAAGCACCATTCTGATAAAATGTACTATTATTATATAAGGCTTTCAACCTGTGGAGCTTCTAATTATGCTTTTCATGCATAAAAAATGCAACTGGAAAAACTGATAAATGGCCAACAGCTACTTCCCTGCTGATTACACAAAATTTCATTATGGTAGAACATTTAAGAATTTAATTCTGAGCTCTCTCAGGAATAGTCTGTAAAATGTTTTGCTTAGGTCTCTTTTTAAGCACAGAATCTCAGCTGAAATAAAAGGTGTATTGAGCCTTTGCCATAAGCAAAGTTAAGTCATTAAGTCAGAAAAGATGAGTTTGAAAATGACAGGTAAAGACAGAAGCAATAAATATCACCAAAACATGCCCAAATGTTTTCTTCTCTCATTTTTAGAGTGACAATAGTTATTGAGGTAGAAATGAGGTCGTTTTACTGCAAAGATTACTCTCCTGATTCCTAATTAATATTTTTTTTAATTTCCCATAAATATTAGGAAAAATATTCTAGACATATTTGTGCCTTTTACAAAGTGCTTTAGGAAGTTGCTGTAATGGGCTTCTTTAGTATTGTGTTTTTCAGTGTCTTCTTTCACTCCTTCCATCTTCTCTGATTCTCCTGTTTACATAAAAGAAAAGAGAATATTTAAGTCCTAATGTGTCTATAGTACTTGAAGCTTCAACATTGGGCAGATGCCATTTTCCTGTTTTTTAACTGGAAAAGCAGGTCCCAGACAGATAGCCTTGGGATCTCTATGGGAATGTGGAGGCTGCATCTGAGAACCAGCAACAGTGGAGCCTAGGCTAGTATACCACAGAGTATTTATCCCTAGCTTTGAAGCATGAATCCAAAATGTTTATATGCCATTAGAATATCAGAAATCTTCATTTGGTTTCTCCATTGTGTTACTTGAGTGTACACCATTTTCTATGTCACTTCCTGTTGCTATGTTCTGGACATCTTATTCTCTTCCTTTCCAAGAATGTAGGAGAAAGATCAGTTACTTGATTTATACCTGAAAAACTGTCTTCTTTTACTCCTACTGAGATATTCTGACCCTTTGCTGCTAACCCATTCTCAGTCACACTCCTGCTTTCCTCTCTACCTGATGTTCCAGCCACAGAACACACCACACACTTTCCTTCCTGTGTAAATGCAAAGCATTTGGTGTAGGGAAGATCACAGGGTTAGAATCAGCTTAACCTGTGCTTGAGTCCTGTTGCTTACCAGCTGGATAACCTTCACAAGTTTACCATTTCTTGTAGCCTCAGCTTTCTGCTCTGTAAGAGAGATGAAACCTCACAGGACTTGTGGAAATGAGTGACTACTACCTGCAAGATTCATGCTGCTCAAGAGCCCCCTTTGCAGGGCTTTTGAGAAACGTGCTTCCCTATGACCAGTGCTCCTGGATTTTACACATCCTTTCCTGTCTCTTCTCTTCTTTTTTTCTATTAAATTAATATCCTGTAGTTGGAAAATTCTATTCAGAGTTTGGGAGAAAAAAAAAGATGAAGAAGGATAAAGTGAAGTGGTAGGAGACTGAGGAAATTTAAACATTCATAATTTTTGTCCTGCTTCATAAATACATAGTAGCTGTATGGTTACTTTTACCTATAATGTCCTCTTTACCCGTCATTTCCTACAACCACAAATAGCACCATTCTAGTCCCATTGAAAGCCTAATCTATATTTTATATCTTTATTAAAATTTTGTTTACCATAACTGGAAGTAACATCTCTGTCCCCAAACTTCATGGAGTTTTCTTTTTTAAAATTTCACTTTATTTCATTTTCTAACATTGACAGATAAAACTGTATGTATTTATTATATAAAGCATGATGTTTTGAAATATATACACATTGTAGAATGACTAAACCTAGCTAACTATGTATTATGCACGTAGTTATCATTTTCGTGATGAGAACACTTTACCTCTATTCTCTTAGAATTTTAAAGAATATAGTACCGTATTAACAATAGTCACCATGTTGTGCAATTAATCCCTTGAACTTATTCCTCCTGTCTAACTAAAATTTTGTATCCTACAACCAACATCTCCCCAGCCTGCCACCCACCTCACCCCTCCCCCTAACCCTTGGTAACCATCATTCTACTCTCTACATCTACGAGGTCAAATTTTTTAGATTCCACATATGAGTGAGATCATGAAGTATTTGTTTTTCTGTGCTTGGTTTATTTCACTTAACATAATATCCTCCAGGTTCATCCATGTTGTTGCAAATGACAGAATTTCTGTTTTAAGGCCGAATAGTATTCCACTGTGTATATGTACCACATTTTCCTTATTCATTCATTGATGGACACTTCAGTTGATTTCCTATCTTGGCTATTATGAATAGTGCTACAATGAACATAAGAGTGCAGATATCTCTTTGGCAGACTGATTTCATTTCATTTGGATATATACCCAGCAGGAACTGCTGGATCATATGATAATATGATAATTGTATTTTTAATTTTTTGAGAAACTTCCATACAGGTTTCCATAATGGTTTCAAATACATTTTCACCAACAATATGTGAGAGTTTCATTTTCTCCACATTCTTGTCAAAACTTATCTTTTGTCTTTTGATAATAGTCATTTTAACAGGTGTGAGGTGATAACTTACTGTGGTTTTGATTTCTATTTCTCTGATGATTGGCAATGTTAAGCATATTTTCATATACCTCCTGGTTATTTGTATGTCTTCTTTGGAGAAATGTCTATTCAGGACCCTTGCCCATTTTTTAATGAAGTTACTTGTTTTCTTTCTGTAGAGTTGTTTGAGTTCCTGATAGATTTTAGATATTAACCACTTATTAGTTGTATAATTTGAAAAAAATGTATTCCATTATTTGGGTTGTCTCTTTATTAATTGTTTCCTTGGCTATACAGAAGCATTTTAGTTTGAGGTAATTATTTTTGTTTGTTTTTACGTTTGTTGCCTGTGCTTTTGGGGTCATATACAAAAAGTCATTGCCCAGACCAATGTCATAGAGTTTTCTCCCTATATTTTCTTCAAGTAGTTTTGTAGTATCAGGTCTTACTATTACGTCTTTAATCCATTTTGAGTGGATTTTTGTCTCTGCTGTGAGATAAGGGCCTAATTTCATTCTTCTGCATGTGGATATCCAGTTTCCCCAACACTGTTTATTGAAAAGACTGTCCTTTCCCTACTGTGTGTTCTCATGTCCTTTATAAAAAATCAGTTGAGTGTAAATGCATGGATTTATTTCTGGGCTCTTCATTCTGTTCCATTTGTCTATGTGTCAGTTTGTATGCCAGTACCATGCAGTTTGGGTTACTATAGCTTTACAGTGTATTGGAAAATCAGGTAGTGTGAAGCCTCCAATTTTGTTCTTTGTTGCTTTAGATTGCGCTATTTGGAGTGTTTTGTAGTTCCATAGAAATTTTGGAACATGGAGTTTTTAGTTTGTATGTATATATGTATGTTTATGTCTTGATTACTTTTGGCATTTTAGGTCAGGTCCACATGTATTAAGTTTCTTGTTTGTTTGATATACAGAACCGCCCCTTTCCTGAGTGTTTTGCAACATGAGAATTAGATAAGTGTTTATATTCAAGTGGTTGAACTCAGGTTTCTAAATAGAAATACTAGAGTTAACTAATTATTACATATGTGCAGCATTCTACCATCACAGAATATTGCAAAAGGAAATAATTCTGAAAGATTAATTTTTTTTCTTTGGCCCATGTTGACTCTTTTCTTGCCATTAAGGTAGTCTGTTGTGCCAATACTTTTGCAATGAAAGAGGTGATTACTTTTCTTAGATGTTTTCCTGCATTCACTGATTGGTAGCAATTCCAACAACTGATGACTTGGGCAGAATTCAAACCAGGAACTTTATAGGGAAAACTGTAATACCATCATTGAATTTGTGAGCCCTCTCATCTTGTAGATTGGAAGGTCCAAAGGAAGCTTTTTTTTTTTTCCCACACTTCACATGCACTGTGTTAAATTAGGATGGACGTCAAAAATCTGACCTTTTCATGGAGTTTTAGAGATGGAATAAAAGGAAGCTAGTAACTGATTTCATTCCAGCTGTATTTCCCACAGCTTGTGGGAATGTTTTATGAGGAGAGTTGTGGATAGTGTTTTATGTCATTTGATGAGAATGAATCCATGATAATCTATAATTTAAAGCAAGATAAATTTCCCTATTATGGCAACTCGGTCTTGTATTAAAAGCTGACACTTCACCACAGGTCACTGCTTTATTTCTTCAAGACTTTTGGTGAATTGCCCTTGCAAAACACCAAGAGCACATCTGTAAGTTTTAGTTTCTTAATGACTGAAAGGACAATGTGCCCTATATTTAAGGAGAAAAGAGTTATGCTCGGTAAGAAAATGGAGAGAGATATATATATATATATAATTTTTAAATTAAACTGTGATTCAATTATCTAGATTAGCCAATAAATGCCTTTGTATTACTATAACTGCTTCCGTTTGCAAATTACAGTTTTGCAAACAAAACTCACTTGCTACTTTTTAAATACTATTAATTTTGGACAAGGAAATTCATATATATGCCCCAAGGGGGAAAAATAGAAAATATGTCTTCCTTTCACCGTCTATCTCTGTCTTAGCTTAAATTTGTGATTATTCTCCTAAGAGAAGACTAAGCATGAATGATTTTCCTTATAACACAAAACATTCTGATTTAATTGTTTTTAGTAGTTGGTTCTGATTTCTGACTTCAGTTGTATTCTTCCTGACAAACCTCTATTTCCTGATCCCCTTAACTTTCTGTCCTGTAGCTTGACAGGAAAACATTAAAAGACTGATGAAAAACTGCTGTATGCCTCTAGCATTCTTTATTTTACCTTCACAGTTACTCAAAACTTATTTGTTGAATGAAAGCTTAATTTTCCTTTTTATGCAAGATTTGGTGTGTGGCAGAAGGCAGTAGCCTGGAGGTGGCGGCATACATAGACATTGAGGGGCTGGTGAAACAGTGTCCCAGTCACCAGGGAGGCACAGGAAGAGAGGCATGAAAACTGCTCTGCCCCTGACTGTATGGGAAACCCCAAGAGCATCATCTCGCTGTCCATGACCACTGGATTTGTAAGATCCAAGGGGGCCTGACTCTTCCTTTGTTCTTAGTCTCTTATATCTCATGCATCTCATACGCCTGACATGGGGACATAGAAGAATGCTATTAATAACATTGCTATTAATACAAACATTCTCTAAATGCAAAATGGAATTAAGTGATTCCTCTTTTAACCTCTGAAATACTTTAATATGATTTAAGAAATACTTTAATTTGAAAGATGAATCTCTTTTGATAAAAGACATGTTCATATAAAAAGAAGACAGGCGACTGGATAATTAGTACATAATCAAATAGTAAAGTTGCCTTTCTGTTTATCTTTAGTATTCAATGGTGTTGCAGTGGCTCATGGTGTAAAATAAAATATTTGTCAATGCAGACACAGAAGGACTTTTAAAATATTCATTTTGGGAGCAAAAGTAGGATTTGTAATCAGTACAGCACCTTTAAAATCATTGGATAGATGCTTGTATGTTTAGGGAGAAAAGAAATGAGGAACATGAACAGATTTCCTGAGAGAGTTAGAGTGAAGAGTGATTAAGCTCAGAACATAAAATTACCATTTATGATTAGTTCAGTTCAATTAATTCCATCTATCTATCCTTTAATTCATTTATTTAATCAACCAGCATTTGGGCACTGTGCAGTGCCCTGTGGATACAGGGATCAAAGACACCATCAAAGAATTTATAGTCATGTGGTGAAGACAGAGATGTAATTGAAGTACCTAAAGGCAGCATGATTTTCATGCTAGGGAATTACAGGTGTCTGGGGCACACAAGGCAGGCAAGTGGTGTAGGGTATAGGTCACAAATTATTTGATAGCCACACAGAAAATGAGAGGGGGAGGCATTCAACAGTGACCAAAACATTGTCCCTACTGAAATAGAAAATGTTTCCTACCCTCAGGGAGCTTGTAGTTCTTAATTCTCTTAGTTTTAGTGCATACGTCTGTAAGAAATTTTCTTTGAAGGTATTTTTAGCTCTGAGAGGCTTCAGGAAAGTTTCTAGTAATAAACACTGGGTATTTAATCCTAGGACTCAATTGCTAGTTTGTTCAAAGATTCCTGATTTGAACTACCATTCCCTTCTGTGAAGAATTTCATCACTATCATGATTTTTGCTCAAAGCTGTATTCAAAAGTCATCTAGACATAACAACAGGAAAATCCAACTAACTAATGTTAAATTTGGTGACTGTGATATGCTCATAAATTTTTCCATATTATCTATGAAATGCTGTAATTCTGTTTGTCCCAAGAAAACTCTTGCATTCCTGTCTTAATTAAATCTCTCAAGCCAAGCAGGTTTCTGCAGTATACAATCCATTCATTCAGGTGTGAAAGGCCGGAACCTATTTACATATTTACAACCCCGATAGCTGTGCCTGGGATAAAGTAAATTTATTTCTGAGTTGTCTAGGTTCTGCAGATATTGCAAATACAATTGTATATTCAAGCTTTCTCCTAAAAGACTCATTTTAGGGCAGTTCTGAAAAATACTGGAAATATGAAAATAGATTTTAAGCTCTTGGGGTGAAGATCATGTTTTGATTTTGGTTCTCTTTACTGCTCTGAAAGTGCTGTGTGTGTGCCTATAGCCCTTTATAAATATGTAAATAAAAATAAAATATTTAGCTGAACTAGAGTAAAGAAGAGAGACTCTTATGTAATAGAAGAACATTTATGTGAGGAAAATAACAGAATTTCAGAAAATACAGCCATTGGGAAAAGAGTGTTTTGGATTATATACCTCTAGGTTTATTTTCTTAACGCTCATTACAATGGGAATAATATTTGCTTGAAGTCACAGCAATGGCCTGAAATGAAAGAGGCTACCAGCCCACCAGTAATTCAATACATGGCAAGTAGAGTAATTATAGTACTGAGCCACCTTATCAGTCACTAATAGTGGGGAAATAGCAGATACTAGGGAAGGCAAAGGAATAAAGAAGCAGAATTCAGAGAGGGATAAAACAGACACATGATAGAGCTTAGCATATTGAGGAGACTGTCCCATGGACACTGCCTCTCAGAGGAAAAGTGATGCAAGAGAGTTCCGGGAATTTCTTTAAAAGTAAAAAGTATGACAGTATTAAAAGCAAATCATAGAGATAACCATGCTGATGAAAAGAAAGATAAGGAAACCATAGGAGTCCACCATCTGTAAGGTATAGTCTGTTTTTAATATCTGAAATGCAAAAAGCAATTATCTGTTGAACAAGGGCAGATCTGCAAGGACGAGAGGAAGAGAACAGCAGAAGCCTGCAGGGCAGTCAGAAGGCCAAGACACAAAATGAGTTCCAATTAGAGCAGGTCACCAAGGAGAAGGAGAAAACCTTTTAAAACACATTTGAAACAAGAGCAAGGCAAAAGGAAATACAGGCTCCCCAGTTAATAAGAAAGGGAAACAAACAACGATAAAGAGAAGTCTTAGGTTTTATATGTATGTATTTATTTTTAGATTATAGGCAAGAAAAAAATCTATAAGAAATTGAATATAACCCACAAATAAAGGCTCAACAATAGTTACTGAAGGAAAGATCAAGCAATTAAAACTTTACTCATCTAAGTTCAATAGAGAGATTGCCTGTAGTGATAAATAAGATGGACGAGAATATTCTTCAGAAGACTCTACTTTTCTGTGATCCTAACTGTGACTGAGTTGCAGGGGGTTGGACAAAATTCCCCAAACCAGAGACTTCACAGGCTTTTTGGGCTGCCTCACCCTCTATATAAAATTGCTAGAAATGAATTCATTGTATCTAATTTTAAATATAAAAGATGTTGGAAATAATATTTTAAAAACATATCTTCATGCTTAGAAACTGGACCATTTCTTCCCAGCTCAAGCAGTGATGTATAGATTAGTAATGAACACTGGTTTGTCAGTTGAAAATTAGGTGAAATAACTCAATTTCTTCTTAGAAAATTCCTAAACGTTAAGCTACATTCATGTCTGTGTTTACATTTTCCTTATATTATTTTCAATTAGGGTAATATAAAAAATAAGGCCAGTAATATTGTTTTATATCTAGAAATATATATGTATAAGGGATAGATGGTCCCATCTATCCTAGTCCCTTCAGAATTAACTCATTTCAGTCAACATTTCTTATGTGTCTCATACGGATATGTAACCAGTTTATTGAGCAGTGGGATAGGAATATGAAATGGTTTTGTTTCTCCTTAAAGCACATTTTGTGTCTCTGTAGCCTCTTAATTGTGAGAAGTAGAAGGAAATGGTATTAATAGTGAGGACCTGAGCCACCTGCTTCTACCACGTGCTGGTTGCGTGACCTCAGAAAAGTTACTTAACCTTTTGTGTATCATTCCACATCTCTAAAATGGGAATGATAGTACTTACTTTAAAGGGCTGTTGTAAAGTTGCAATAAATTATTTAAATCAATTAAAACAGTGCCTAGTATATAGTAAGCATTCAGTAAGTATTAGCTATAGTGTGATCTCAGTCAATTTCTATATTTTTCCAGTCCCTGCTCAGTTTTTGAATACTTGCCCCAATCTCATTTAAAACTCTCATCTTGTCTCTTCTCTTCTTCCTAGTTTAGTTTTGACCCTAGACTTGAGGGAACTGCTTTAAAGAAGAAAGTGAGGCCTGGTGCAGTGGCTCATGCCTATAATCCCAGCACTTTGGGGGACCGAGGCCGGTGGATCACCTGAGGTCAGGAGTTCGAGACCACCCTGGCCAACTTGGCGAAGCCCCGTCTTTACTAAAAATTCAAAAATTGTCTGGGCATGGTGGCACACACCTGTAATCCCAGCTACTCAGGAGGCTGAGGCAGGAGAATCGCTTGAACCCAGGAACCGAGATCATGCCACTTCACTCCAGCCTGGGCGACAGAGTGAGACTCCATCTCAAAAATAAAGTAATGAATTAGTTTAATTAAATGAAGAAGAAAGTGAGTTCTCTTTCAATCCTCTTTGAAGTTGAGATTCTTCTGGTACTGAGATAGACATTTAGAACCTGTGGGAAAAAGGCAAGAGTCCTATGAGGAGGCCAGATTTGGGGCTTCTGCCACATAGATATGATGGACACCATAGTTAGTAGTAGGAGAAGCAGGAATTATGTGGTAGGAGCCCCTCCCCTGGCTTTTCATGTATTTTGGAGATTACTGTGAGAATTCCTCAAAGCATAGTTCCTTGACATAGATTCTGGCTTCTGCTAGACAATTTTGACCCTCACATTTCCCTTAATTCCTGCTAAGTGGTGAACTCTATGGATGGGATTCTCTCAACTGCCAGCCCGCAGTGTTGGGGAGGCACTGACAAGACAGCCAGGATGCTATTTTCTGGAAGTCTCTCAGCTCCCACAGTATTGCCCTATAAAATGGTAGAAATGCAGGCTACTTCACTCTAGCCTTAGCCTTCTGGTTATACAGATTGGGATGACCAGTGTAGCAGTGCTAACATGACACCCTTTTAATAAGCTCTGGCCCTCATCGTTGGCAGGTCTTTCTAGAACACAGAATACTTGATGTCTATTTGGCCTCAGCATTTGGGGTTTGTCATAGATTCCAGGACAACAGGAAAAGTTGCCCATCAACTTGTCATACATATTATGGCCAAGGCCTTGTAGCCTTTCAGCTTGAGATTCTCTCAATGTTCCATTTTCCCATGTTTTGATCAGTAAGAACAATCCTTATTTGGGTATTACATATCTGATTTATCTCCTCTTTCTATCTGTCTGCCTTTCAGTCTCATATATGGAACTCATTTTTAATTATTGACATCTTGGGAATTCCCACAGTGAACAGATGTTGCAGAATGACTTATGTGGAAAATGTCAAAGATTACAGTCTATTACAGTTTTTCCAGCCTTCACATATGGTTTGACTCCATTAAACATTCTTTAATGGTGAATGTTTTAAAAAGAAAACAATTTTTTTTGGTTGATGGGCAAAAGAGTAAGATTAAGAAGATTCCAATCACTGGCTCCCCATTCCTGTACTCCTGGCACCAGGTCTCCTCTCATAATATTTGAGTACTGTGGATGAATGTGGTTGAATAGAATATAATGAAATTGACTCCTCCTGTATCACTGCTCAGCTCTTTGCATCTAATTTTCTATATTTATAGGAGAAATGGAATAAACAGTAGGTTTGGACCCCAGGTCATAACATTAATGGCAGAAATGTAATATTACCTATGGCATTTCAGGAAACAGGACATAGACTTTTTATAAGGCACATCTCCAGACTTTGGTGGTGTTGGGTAGAGCCAACTTTTCACTGGGTCCTTCCCCAAGACTGTTATCCTTGAAACAGGATGTTTTATCTTGACTTAATGACTTTATTCCAAGAGTCACGTGGAGGAAAGAAGGTCTGATACTGTGTTATATGTTTAATGATTTAGAACTCTAAGAATATAGCCTTAGTTTATTCCTTCCTTTAAAAAAAAAAAAAAAAAGCAAAGGGAAAATACCCATAAAGGAAATTTATCTAATACAGAGTGAGAACTGCTTTAATTTTTGTATCATAGCCACCAAGTTTTGGTAATCAAATAGAAAAGTGTAAGAAGTCTTTTCAGTAAGGCACTGCCATTTCTCTGGGTGTACATCCCTTATCAGCTCATTACACCAACTTTTCCTTTGATGTTGTGTGGTAGTCCCTTCCCAACTTAAGTCTGGTGTGAGAAAATTGGGAAATAGCACTTTAATCCTGGAGGACTGATTTCATTAAAGATTTTATTATATATTGGTGATCCAGCCTTGCTGTCTTAAGTATGGCTCTGAGATGACATTGATGAAATTTCTCCTATCATTAGAAGTCAGGTCTAGCACAGTTGCAACACCCAGAGGCACAGGAGTGCTGGGTCATGTCAAGAGAACACAGATTAAGAATTGAAATTCTTGGGTTCCAGCAGTTCAGAAAACCACTCAGTCTCTCTGGGCTTCAGCCCAAAATGTAATTCAGCAGTTCTTTTCTGTAGCTATTAATTAAGGTGGGTCTCAGTCCAAGTTGGTCCTGTATTTTGTCACTGAGGCTCACAAATAAAATCCGTTAATACTTTACTAATAGTTAATAGTTATAGAATATTTATTACGACCTAGGCATTGTGCTAAATGCTTCATTATCTCAATGACTCTTTGAGGTAATATTTTACATATGAAAAAACTGTATGCTATAGCAAATAAGTGTCCTCCTCAAAGCCTGGAAGTGTGTAAATGATAGGATCAGGACTTGAATCCAAATCTTTCCGGATTCTGAGTCCACAGTTTTAACCACATCGATAATATTGCTGTTGAATTTGAGCTGTGTTCTTTTATTCTTTTTTTCAACTAGATCATTTATTAGAGAGTGACATGATAAAGTTGACAGGTTTTTAGATTTATGTTGCCAAATAATATTTTTGACTGCATCTCTCTGATACTCCAGTAAATCTTCATGTTAGATTTGAGTGCTATTCACATATATCTCTGATACTCCAGTAAATCTTCATGTTAGATTTGAATCCTATTCACATATCAGAGTTTCATGTTCTCGCCTAGAACAAATTATCAAACTTATAGATGATATCAATAGTTTAACTTATTTAGTTTCTATTGTTCTTCTGTGTGAGCTCAGTTCTGTTGCTTTAGTTCTGTTCCTGCTGCCATTTCTATTTTCTGCTCTAGAGGCCTAAGACTTGATCTGTTTATCTTTGTTCATTGTAGTTCATTTAGTTGCCAAACTTTTATTAAGTGCCTCTGTCAGTTAGTGTTGTAAACCTCAAGGACACCTTGTTAACAAGTGATTTAAGATTACTACCTGAAGTGGTTTTTATCTGTTGTTAGTGGGGTAATACCAAATGGAATTAAAATTCAGAGAAACTGCCAACTTATCTTTTAAGGAAATGGTTTAAACCTTTTCTTAACCTGGAATAAGTGTAGTTGATACTACTATTAATAGCAAGTGGTGCTATTGACTGTTACTCTACCCTGTGGCAAGTGGTTAATGTGGAATATTCTATCAAAGTTGCTGTTACACTAGCACTTCTCCTTTTCCTATGGTTCCGCCCTTATTTGTGATACAACAGCAGCTTCATTACAAAAGAAGAATCACATAAACCAGGAATGGTTTAAACAAATCAGAGAAAAAATGAGGGAAGAAAAAGAGAAGAATTCTTCTTGTAAGCAGAACCTCAGCTGGCTAGAGATAACTATATACTTCTTCTCTTTCTAGCCCTCCCCAAATTCTTGAGGGAATCTTAAACCTTGGGGCCATACAGACTAGGTTTGGGCTAATCCAGATCTAATATCTAGGCACTTGGCCTTAGGCTATTCCTGCCATCATTTTGCAGCAGGAAATTTCTGGAATTGATTCAGATTTGGGCATGGGGAGGGATTATTGTGTGCCTAACTAACAACTGCATAGAATGTGCACATTATCCTTTTCTTATGTTTGTTAGAGCATATTTACAAAGTAAGATGAGAGCAGGTGCCATCAAAAGGCAGGGACACTAAGTGGGAGGTATGTTCGGGAAAAGTGGCTAAAGAATTGTCTTTCTGGCAGCATATCCCAGAACTTTGAATATATTACTGTGTAAAGGGAATATCTTAGAGACAGGTTAGTGAGTGCTATGGTCTAAATGTTTGTGTCCTCCCCAGATTCATATGTTGAAATCCTAATCCCCAAATTGTTAGTATTAAGAGATGGGGTCTTTTAGGAGGTGGTTGGGTGATTAGGGTTCTGCCCTCATTAATGGAATTAATGCCCTAGTAAAAGAGGTCCTAGGAGCTGCCATGACCCTCTTACACAGCAAGAAGGCACCATTTATGAATCAGAAAACAAGCTGGTTGCTTGATCTGGGACTTCCCAGCTTCCAGAATTGTGAGAAATAAATATCTGTTCTTATAAGCTACCCAGTTTATGGCATTTTGTTATAGTAGCCCAAATGGACTAAGACAGTGAATATGTGCTTTCATAATATTTGATCACCAACATCGTCTTCAGAAAGCAACAATAGAAATGAGTATTCCTAGGAATACTCTGTGGAAAAGAAATATTATTGTAGAAATAGATATTTAAGTGGCTCCCACCTACTTCAGCCTGGAATGTCATATTCCCTCTGTCAGTATAAATTCTTAACAAATAGTTTTCATGTATTTCTGGTGGAGCATGATTTTTACAACCATTTTATAAAACAAGTTGGCAGTGCGTATAATGTGTCATGAAAGTCTTCATACCCTTTAACCCAGTAATCTCACCTTGGAAAATATATCCTAAAGAAAGAATCTAAAATAGAGAACATGATAATTTTTTAGTGTAGCATTTTAAACAACATATTATGGTATTAGAAACAACTTAAATGCCCAAAGAAAAGTAAGAAAATTGTACTATACTAAATATGAATTATAATATAGTCTCTTAAAATGATGATCATAATGACTGTGACAACATGAAATTCCTTACAAAAAGTCAGTTAAAAAACCAGAATATATAATTACATACACACAATGCACTTGTAAAAGAAGCAAAGGAAAATTTTACCATTAAAAATACATAAAATGTGTATAGTAATTATGTTTTTAATAGGCTGACAGATTTATGTCTGGGTTTTCTTCCCTCTATTTTCTAATATTTTAAAACTTTCTTTCTGCTTCTAAGTTTGACTTCTGAATGAGCTAGATTCTTAATTTTACTCAGGATATGCAGGTTCCATCTTTTCACCCAATGCAGGCAGCTTTCCTCTGAGGAGTAAAAGAATTCCTCCAAAAGGCTAAAGATGGCCTAGGCCTTCACTGTTAGAATGGGGAAATGTTAGTGTACACTTTCAATTATTTGTGAAATCTACATTCATGGATCACAGCACTCTGCTTTTGGTGCTCTCCATGAGTCATCAGGTAATAAATTGAAAAATGAAGAGAAGCTGACACAAACATTTCTGTTTTATTTTATTCACATGAGCTCTTTTTAAAAAAAATCAACGCAGATGAGCTCTTCGCTGTCTAAAGTTATTTAACACAGACTTTTTAACATCTTATTGAAATGAAAGGAGAAAAATCAATGATAAACATCCTGTAGATGGGACGTTTGATTTCGATTTGCACCAAATTGTTAGTTATTAAATCCATTATGAAGCTCTCTGCCGTTTGCTTGAATTTCTCATTCTTGGCTGCTGAACAAGTGCCTCTGAGCTTTTTGATAATTACTGACAACTTTTTTCCATAGTATATGACTTGTTATTTAAAGATGCACCAGAGAAGAAATTTTCAAAATATATCCACAATAAATTTGACATCAGAAGGTGTATTTGTTGGTTTGACTGTTGAAACAGTAAAAGAACAGGAATGAATCATTTTATAGTAACACAAGGCCCTTTCTCTCTCTCTCTCGGCTTGTGTCCTTCGGAATATTTCCTTATATTATATATCCTTTTCATTCTTCCAAAGAAAATTGAGGTACAAGTTACTAATGTACTTTGGTTATACATTTTCCCTCTGTTCATATGAAACTTTCTTCAGCAATTTGGAAGTGACCTTGGCTGTATTTTGTAATTCTGAAATCTCCTTGGGGAATATTTAAAGGTAGAACAAATTCAATGGAACCTACATGTAGAGAAATGGGGTATACTGAGGTATGGTATAGAATATGTTTAACTGCAAATAACCAGGAGAAGCTTAAACAATTAGCAGTTTATTTGTTTCCCATTCCAAGTGGTTTTGTGGGAAGTACACATGCAGGGCTGGCAAAATGACTCAAAAATGCCTCCAGGTGCCCAGGCTCTTTTAATTTTCCCACTCCAGGATCCATAGAATGTTCATTTCATATCATACTTTTCATCTATGATTTCAAAATGGTTTATGCACCTCCACACATCACATCTATATCTACTAAAGATGAAGCAGGAAGGAGGATGGCCCAATGCCTGTCTTAGGAAATGTCCCCAGAAATCTTATAAAGACTTCTGTTTAGATTCCATAAGTTGGCACCATTTCACATGGCCACTGCTAGCTGCAAAAAAACCTTTCAGGGCTCTGTAGAGTAAAAAAGCAGACAGGGGTCTGGGCATGGTGGCTCACGCCTGTAATCCCAGCACTTTGGGAGGCCAAGGTGGGCGGATCACGAGGTCAGGAGATCTAGACCATCCTGGCTAACACGGTGAAACCCAGTCTCTACTAAAAATACAAAAACAAAATTAGCTGGGCATGGTGACAGGCGCCTACAGTCTCAGCTACTTGGGAGGCTGAGGCAGGAGAATGGTGTGAACCCGGGAGGCGGAGCTTGCAGTGAGCCAAGATCCTGCCACTGCACTCCAGCCTGGGTGACAGAGCAAGACTCCGTCAAAAAAAAAAAAAAAAAAAAAAAAGCAGACAGGGGATGGGAATGGTTGTCAATAGATTCTGTCTCCAGTAATTGCCTCCCAAACAAAATTAGATGTTTCAGTGGTCAGATACTTAAAATTCTGAACTTTGTTCTCATCCATCAAGTGTGTTGCCCAGTTTTCAACAAAATTGTGGCAGGGAGAGGAAGAAGCCAGAGCAAAGGAACTGCTACCAGCTCCAACCTGATGCATTCATAGTTGATAAAACTAAAGGATAAGAACGTAAAATTAGGAGAATAATCCTGCAGAAGAATTCAAGACATAGGGTAGCCTGGGTTCATTTAAAATAGACATAAGAAGTTTCTTATCTTTACACTAGGGTACAATAAAGGAGCATAACAGTGGCCTCTGAGTTTTCAAGAAGAAGGAAATTATGTTCAGTATTTTTTCTAATAAAGAGGAGATAGCGGAAAGATTTATCTTCTGTTTTCATAGTTAAAAATGTGATATTATGTAAAAATGCAAACTCTGATAGGCCATCTGGACAACTTTACACTAGAGAAGAGTTTCTGAGACTTTTAGATTTTACAAGACTCCACCTTTTTTTTTTTTTAACAAGGAAACAAATATGTGAATGTACTGGAAAAATTTCATCCGTGTTTACCATCATTTTATATAGAAGGTCATTTTAGTACTCAAAAGAATTAGCCATACAATTTTAAAATTAAAAGTCTTTCAGTTGAGGAAAAGTTAAACTTTATGAAAAAAAATCATATTTTTTCATTTTTTTTTCCATTATGGTGCAAATGCATGCAAAAACTTGGTCACAGATCAGCACCAGCCCAGGGATGAATGTTGAGAGACTGCTGTGAAGGATTTTGAATATCTGGGATTTGCTTTTTTTTTTTTTTTTAATCTTTTCCAAGCATATATGCCATTCCTATTTGCTTGGTAGCTGTTGTGTGTTACCAGCCCACTGTCAGTTACATACATGATGTGATTTGTTGTGTGTGGTGTTTCTCCTCTGTTGTCTGCAGTAATTGTCTTGTTTTTGGGTTAAGGTTGGGATGGCAGACACTATGCATATGCTATCATTGACTCCATCCTATGCCAATGTCAAACTATTCACAGAATTTTTACTGTTAAGACTAAAAATGATACCAGATCCTGTCTCAGCACAACGTTTAGGAAAGCCACATCCAATCCATCAAAGCTAGCACATAAAATCCCTCTGTTCTTCTTGAGTTAGATATTATTCCCAGAAGGCCTTCATGAAAATGTGCTTGTTATGTGAAAGGGGAAACTTATTGACATATCAGTTCAGAATAACCAGGTTGTTACATGGCAAAGAGAGGAGTACCAATGGAATAAAATAGAAGTCAATTATCGTTTAAAGCCCTTCAAAGAGCAACCTGAAGGCAACTTCTGAGTGGAGGTGAGAATACTATCAAACGCATTGGCATTGAGCTCATGCAGCTCCCCAGCTCAGATGCTCCCGATGGTTTCTCATGCACTCATCAAATTTAGTGGAGCCTTCTCAATCTGGATTTCCACCAAATATACTGGACAAACTTCAGCAAATCTGTCATTGATCCCAGATGTTGATGCATTTCCATCTCTGGGCTTTGATGCTTAAGTGTTCTAGGTAGGTCATTGCATATCAGTACAACTATTAGGAGAATATTGTGTAAATCCATCTCTTAAGCACCATCTCTTCCATGAGTTCCTTCCAGAAATCTTTGCTTTTTTCCTCCCTCCTAAATAATGTCATAAAATGACCTTTCCTATGCTTCCGTAAGGAGCATTCTCAGGATTAGAACTAACCACAGTGTTAAATAGAACAACCTGGAAGTGTTCAAACTGTGGTAGGACAGAGTCTAAAATATATATTTATTGTAATCATAATTTTACTTAAATCCATTTAAGTAAAAAATATATATGTAAGGACATTAGGAACATGAAAAATAGTTACCCATAATCCCAGAAAACAAACGCATTGACATTTTGTTGCATTTCTTTCCTGACTCTTTTTTTTTGGGTGAGGGGAGTTCTATATATTGTTATATATTTATATTTCACTCACACAACAAGTACTTATTGTGTGAGTGCTATATGCTGTGTGCTAGGCACACTTTTCTAGACAAATACAGAAACATGTTTGTTTTCATGTAATGTGATTTTATATTCATATACATGCATATGTGTGAGATTTCATAGTTTCTGAAACATCATTCAACATTAGTGTACGCAAGTTTATACAATATTGATGGATTGGATGTGGCTTTCCTGAATGTTGTGCTGAGATAGGATCTGGTATCATTTTTTGGCCTTAACAGTAAAAATTCTTGTGAATAGTTTGACATTGGCATATGATGGAGTCAATGATGCCTATGTATAGTGTCTGCTACCTCAAACTTAAACTAAAAGCAAGCTATTTGTGTTGTTATTAATTTTTCAATTAATAGATGGTATGTATGTTTCTTACAGCATTTGATTCATATTGACATATTTCTTTCCAATACATTAGACACTTTTTTTTTTTTTTTTTTTTTTCTGAGACAGAGTCTCCCTCTGTTGCCCAGGCTGCAGTGCAGTGGCACAATCTCGGCTAACTGCAAGCTCCGCCTCCCAGGTTCACGCCATTCTCCTGCCTCAGCCTCCCATGTAGCTGGGACTACAGGTGCCCGCCACCACGCCTGGCTAATTTTTTGTATTTTTAGTAGATATGGGGTTTCACCATATTAGCCAGGATGGTCTCGATCTCCTGACCTCATGATCCGCCCACCTTGGCCTCTCAAAGTGCTGGGATTGCAGGCATGAGCCACCAAGCCTGGCCTAGATACATATTTTACCTCTATTAGCGATACCTGACAAAAAAAAGCTGGCTTCATTGTCCCTTAACTTATATTTTAAATTAACTCACATTTTATAGGGTAAAAACATGCTACACAATCATAGTATTAATTTGCTTTTGTTTGATTTCTAATAAGGATGATGTTTTTAAAATATTGACTAGTTGGAAATTGCCAACTTTTATGGATTTAAATTACCCCTTTCTAGATTGTTCTTAGTTATTCTCCCATTAATAATTGTGTTCTCTTTAACAAGGATGGCAATCTGTTATTTTTACATATTTTCAAACATTACAGTTCATTCTTTCATTTTATCTATGTTTTTATAACATGCAAAAGCTTAAAAAACAATTTATGAGCACAGTGTCATTGCTTGTCCTCTTTGTGATTTTTCTCTTCTACAGTAATTATAAAAACTCTTCTTCTCTTCAGAGATTTGATGAATATCCAACTTCAGTTTTTCAATAGTTTGTTTTAAAAAAATATTTAAGTATAGTCCAGCCAAATCTGTTTTGGTAAATGATGTGAGGTGAGGCTCTAAATGGGTTTTCCCTCAAATTACTAAATATTTATTAAAATAAAATTTATTGAATAATTGATCATCCCCTGTGATTTGTGTTGTACTATCCAGGATTTAAATTTTACAGAGAGTACACTACACTCTCTCTCGTCAAAAGAACCAGTTTGAAATCTAAAAATCAAAATACTTCTTAAAAATGCAAAATATTGTGATATTCATGTCTAATTCAGGGTATACATGGCAGATATTTTGAAATAACTCTCCAAGTAGAGAAAAACATTAAAATCACTATTGTACCAATTTCAGAATATGCTTTCAATGTCTCCTTTGTAGACAGAAACTTTAGACTGCCGTACAAATGACAGGGTAGCTTCAGTTGTGCAAGATAGTTTTCAGCAACATTATGGAGTCATACTATAGGCATGAATTATTAGCACAAATATTTATTAAATAACTAGAAGGATGTTAATAGTAATATTATTGGTAATAGTGTAAAAATAAACTAAGCTTCATAAAGAGGAAACTCTCTCTAAAAACCAAGCATTACATAACAATTATTAAAACTGATTTTAGAATGTCAATAACCTGAAAATATTCATAGAATATTATTAAGTTAAAACATAAAGTAGTTCATAAAAGAGAAGGTACAGTATGACCTCATATTGGTAAGACAAAAAATATATAGTGTTTTATGCTCAAATGTTATTTTTTCTATGTAAATCAGAGGAAAAATATTTGAAATATCTCTAACACATCATTATGAAGATCACCTAATTTTCTTCATGTGGATATAGTATATATCTACATAAACACACCAGGATTAAGTAGCTGCCTGCAGTAGTTCTTACCTTGATTCTAATTTCTAACTATACATGGACAATTTGCATTAGGGGAAATTACTTTGAAGAGGTTGGATCAACAGCATAAAAACACCAGATTTTACTTTCTTAGGATACTGGGTTTTTGTTCAAACAGTAAAGTGAAACTCAAACACAAACCTCCTGTCTTCCTTTGTCTGTGCCATTAACAAAATTTTGTGATAAACTTTCAGGAAGCACTCAGCATCCTCTCAAACACACCCCAAAACACTATACCATTCATTTCTAAGCTAAGCAGAAGAAAGGCAAAAAGTGCATCCCAATAAAAAAACCTTGGGGTAAATGGTTATGTTGAAGTATCCATGCAGAATCTCTTGTTGGGTTTTTTGCCTTGTTCTTAATGTACTTCATGGCCACTGTCTGGAGTTACGGATCAACTGATGGCCACAGGAACAAGGCACTCAGTATAATTTGTTTGGCCTTTAAAAATTCTGCCCTCATAAAAACTGTATTTAGTGTGATTCTGCTATTTTTGTCATTTTGTATTTGCTGACCACTAGAGACATTGATAGTATTCTATTATGCCAGGTAAAATATCCTGCTCTTAGAGCAAAATATTTTAAGATAGTGGTGGATTAACAGTGCAAAAGAAAAAATGACGAGTAAGGCTCTGGAGTTCTCTAGAGATACTAAATTTTCCTATGGAAAGAGCCCTCACGAATGTGACAAAGAGAATGTATATTTTATTTGGGGGATGTAGGAAATCTTTTTGCCCAGAAAGCTAGTTTTTACCCACTGACTAATACAAAACATGACTAAAAAGTAATCTGAGAAATCCCACAAGCCACATGTGACAATCAGTTTCATCACGTTATAGTCACATCTCATATTCCCTTTATCTCATGCTGTGCCAATCTCAGAAAGGGCCACTGGAATTGGAAACAATAATTGAAGCTTTGAATTCAATGCCAAACAGTAATGTTAATATTCCATTTTGTTAGCATTATAGATAAGGGTGATGGTGGGGGGTGAGGAAAGCTTATATTTTTGTGAAGTGTATGGAAAACTAGTATGAAAGGAAGGACTGTTATGGTGAAGATGGAATGGAAAAAAAAAGAACAGTGTTTCATTTTAAGTGTTAGATTTACGCATAAGTGATATTAAAAGTATTTAATATCCCATACAGCACAGAAAATCCACAAATTCAGAGTAGGTGCCAGAGCTGCCAGTGTCTTCAAGGTTGTCTGCTACTAGGCATTAACATGCCAAAGGTGGACTGGGAGAGGTCTGGGAAGTCCTGGACAGCGGGTGAGAGCAGCCCTGAAGGTGGGTGCTACTCAGGGATCTCAGGACAGAGACTATTTTCCAGTCAGTATAAAAATATATCAATATTTTAACAACTGGAATGCATAGAAGAAGCTAAAGTTATTTCAGAGAATTTATTTGGGGAGTTGTGCCCAGGATTTCAGATTCCCAAGTATTGTTCAGAGCTTAGAATCCAAATGTTTTTAATTTTGAGAGAGTTCTTCCAGGAATTTCTTGCTGTCCCTTTTTTTGTGAGTCCCAGGATCCTCGGACTGACCTTTCAGCTGACTTTGGTTGCTCATGCTTCCCGGCACAAGTCCTAAGAGAGGCAATTTCCATTGGCCTATTGAAATGATTAACAAGATCATTTTCATGTTGCTCCTGGTAGAAACAGCTGTCAAGATAGTGACCTTGTCCTAGGACTGCTGGCCTCCTCTGAATCCCTCCTCTAAGGCTGATGGCTTGTGCCCACAGCCACCTATCAGTGCTTCTCTTTAAGTTCCTGAGCAGCTCTAATAGCCATGCTGAGCCCCAAAATCTGGGCCTGACTTGGAGGAAACACCACTTACCATAGGCACCTTTTTAAATTGTTCATTAAAGGTGTCAAAACACACATTTGTTCCATGGACAGAAAACTCCACTTGCCCTAGGAAGATACACTCACTGACAGGCCCTGGTGTGTGATGCTCCCCGCCCTGCGTCCATGTGTTCTCATTGTTCCATTCCCACCTATGAGTGAGAACATGCGGTGTTTGGTTTTCTGTCCTTGTGAAAGTTTGCTTAGAATGATGGTTAACATAAAATTCCTTTAACTTTGTCAGAAGGAAGAAGTAGGAGAATTGATCTCCAGCAGGCTTCCTTAAACCCGCTAATGGCTTCACCTACATTTGTATTTTAACACATCTGCCCTTATCTAATATTTGGATTTTCATCTTAGTGTTTTGTTTGTTTGTTTGTTTTGTCACTTTTGGGAGCAGAGATCGTTTGTTTCTGAGCATCATTTGTTTTCTACAGAACATATGCCTGATTTAACCGTAAATAACCTGCTCTATAAAGTAAGTTTCCACTTATTTTCTCTCTCTCTCCCTCTCTCTTTCTCATTTTAGATAGAGTTTTCTCTACCTTGCCCAGACTGAACTTGAACTCTGGGGCTCAAGGTGATCCTCCAGCTCCTGAGGGGCTGGTGATTACAGGTGCATGCCACCATGCTCAGCTCTTATTTGTCTCATTTTTTCTTGGGAAGTTTAACTTTAAGCCACCCTAAATACGTCTCCATGATTTTTACGGTCGATAAAATTGTTTCCATTTTTAATCAAATTGAAAAAATATTTTATTTTAAAATGTTTTCCTCACCAAGCTTTTTTAAATTATTTATTTCTTTTTTTTTTAAATTATACTTTAAGTTCTAGGGTACACGTGCACAACGTGCAGGTTTGTTACACAGGTATACATGTGCCATGTTGGTTTGTTGCACTCATCAACTGGTCATTTACATTAGGTATTTCTCCTAATGCTATCCCTTCCCCAGCCCCCCACACCCCGACAGGCCCCGGTGTGTGATGTTCCCCGCCCTGTGTCCATGTGTTCTCATTGTTCAATGCCCACCTATGAGTGAGAACATACAGTGTTTGGTTTTCTGTCCTTGTGATAGTTTGCTTAGAATGATGGTTAACATAAAATTCCTTTAACTTTGTCAGAAGGAAGAAGTAGGAGAATTGATCTCCAGGTGAGGTAATTTTATAAACTGATGATTACACAAAAAGAGAAAGAAAGGCGGCACAAGTATTACACAAAAAGGTAGAGATAATGATAAATTCTGTTAAAATTAATGTAGGGAAATGCAAATCACTCTGAGAAAAATCATAGTAGAAATATTTCTGATAGATCGATGGGATCTCTTTTTAATTGCTTTTCAGTTCTCCTATTACTTGTCTTCCTAGGCTTTAAAACTTTAAAAATAAGCAAAGAATAGGAATCATTTTCCAAAAGCTTTCAAAAATCTGACATTGATTCATTGATATACAACCCATTAGCCTAGAATTTCATCTCTTCATCTATCATTTCAATTATCCCCTGATTTCTCTGGGGCATTTGATAAATGGGAGACCATTTACATTTGGTGCATTAATGACCTTGGTACATTTTGAAAATGTGTCCCCTGCCCCCATTATATATGTATGTTTTTTAAAGCTACCTACTAGGTCTTCAAGCATGCTAAGGGACAGAATGACATCCATGTAACTCCATTACTTGGACATCATTAAAAAATAAAATTCTGAAAATGTGGTGTTTCCATGATGATATGATGTTATTACATCTATAAAAATAAGTAACTATTTAAGGGTTAAAAGATACCTATAGAAAAAGAAGCAGAAGGATATTGTTCCAAATAAATGTGGACATTTTGGTTTTCTTCCACTTTTGAGTCTACTGCCCAAAGCATTTTATATTAGAGTTCGTTACAAAACAAGGTGTTTTTGTTTTAGTGGTGATTTTTTTAATCTATTTTTTTTTACCATGGTGAGAAATTTGTTTTTCTAAAATCCTTTGTTGGCTTGCCCCCAAATGTACAACAACCAAAAGCCACATTATATATAAGATATATAGTAAATATATTGTTTATATAAAATATAAAGTATATATAAACTATATATTTATATATAATATATTAAATATTTTATATTATATAATACTTAATGTTAAATGTTTACATATGTTATATATTGTGTGTATGTTTCTTTCAGGGAGGGGAGGGTGGTGTGGTAGAGGGGCACACCAGTAGGCTGTGCTCTACCATTACTCTAGCAGCCTCAGATGAAGCAGAGATGCTCCAAATGAAGCTGTCACCCGGTTTTCTTGAATATAATTTGGTCATCAAGATATTTGAATTGGAAACACTCTGGAAGAAATAAGTGTCTACTATGAAGGAGCTATTGGGCATTTCTACTGCCTTTGAGCTCCCAAAGTTTAAATTTTGTGAGCAATAGTTAACAGTCTAGTTCTTTAAGAATACTATCTCTCTACAGAATACTATCTAACTAGTGTGAGACCCTGGCTTTCAATTTTTTTTATATTATTTGAAACACACCAATTATCTTCATTGAAAAGAAATTTATATTTCTTCAATGAACTTATATCAAATATGAAGAATCATTTATGCTTTTGTCTCTTTTCCTGGTTTTTTGTCTTTGATTTCCTGGTTAATTTTGTGATGTTGCTTGCCACATCTTTGATAAAATAAAATTCTGTAAAATAAGAATAAACATATTTTTGTTAAAGGTGCTTTGAAATTATTAAATAAGAGATTTGAGTTGAACACTTTAGAGAATTGGTAAATCAACAACATTTCTGAGAAACAAAAGCTATTGATATTTTTCTTTGAATGTAATATTTAAGTTCGTATCTCAATGCAAGCGAATAATTTTAGGGCTAAAATAGTAGCTTACAGGTCAGTTAATTCACCATCTTCACTCCCTTGTAGAAACTGAGATATTTGAGGTAAGACTGTGGGATAATATTTATTACTAGACAAAAGTTTCTTTATAACTTTGTCAAAATCCAGAAGGTAATGGTTGGATTTGACTTGAGGAGAACTCCTGAGTTTCAGCTCTGTTTCCCAGCTCTTCAAGGTTACAGTCTAGTCTGTTTTGACAGATGGCTCCTTTATGTCCAGGGCCTCTGAGCGGACATGTGCAAACCTGGAATGCACTAGAAAAGGTCAAGTGTTCATTGCGATATAGCCCTCAATTGTTATCTTTTCGGATGACAAGGATATATTCTATTTATCTATATATCTTCTGGCACCTAACACAATGTTTAGCACATACAAGGCACTTCATAATTTTTGATGAGTGAATAAATGAGTGAAAGAATGGCTGAATGAATGAACACTTTGTTTACTTAGAGGTTACTAGAGCCATTTACAAATCATATGGGAAATACTCAGGATGCAGATAGTAAAGAAAAAAAAAAAGACTCAATGCCAGTGAGCCACAGAAATTAAAGTCAAGAGAGAAAATTGGAAATCATGAGATTTATTTATGTGGGAAATTTTAATTTCTGTTCAGGTAACTCAGATTTACTTCTTTGGCTTTTCTCTTTTGGGACAGGCGTCACCGGAGCACCAGCCAAATGTCGAAGTTGGGAACTGGGTTCTTTATTGTTAGGCGTAGACTGGTACAAGCATTTTCTGCCAGAAGTATCAGTTGAAATCTGGGCCCAAGGGGCCAGCCTAGGAAAAGAGAAAAGGTGAGGTTCAGCTACCAGAAAGGAGCTGAACAAGGAGCCAAAAGAGAGAATCCAGGTCAAGAACACAAAACTAAGATTTTAAGTTCTGTTAGACACAGGGATCACAGTAAAGCAGACTGTTAACAAGCAAGGAGGAGGAAAAGGTAAAGAGTCCTGAACAGTTGCCTCAAATTTCAACCTATTATTTTGTCTCAATTTTCTGAACTCACCGATGAGGTATGTGGAAAGATCAAGCAGAGTTGACAAATGTTTTCAGACTTGCTACTCCACTGATGAGCAGCCTTGAATTTCCAATTGCATGCTGGACTTTCTCCCGAGTGTTTCTTTGGCACTGCATATTTAACATATCTAAAATGAAAAATAACTTCCCTTGTATTTTATTGTCAGAAAAAATAGTCCAAGATTGGAAATGGGTGAAAAAGATTATAGGGTGTCTATCCTTTCAGTGGAGCGCTAAGCATTTCTGAAAGCTTAGAAGTTAAGTTGTTAGAAAACTGATAGCCATGCAAATGATTCCTCTTTTGTCCCATTGAGACAGAATTGATTTCTCCTCTATGGAAAAGATGATCCAAATCACTGTATTGCCTTTTACATGATATGAATCAGCTTGGCATATATTAGGAAATTATTTCAGGATTCCTGATTATCTATGTGTGTGTGTGTGTGTGTGTGTGTGTGTGTGTGTGTGTGTGTGTGTGTTTTACTGGTTTGTTAATAAGTTGAATAAAATCTTTAACATATTCAATTTGCAGGAGAGTCATGTTTTTAACTTTTTGAAAATTATATTAACATCCTTATTAACTATTAATGTTTCCACCATCCTAAACGCTTGGTACCATTGAACTTTCTACTTCTCTGGATCTCCATTATATAATCAGTTTCCAAGTTAAATGCTCTTCACTTCAATCCCTTTTTCACTGTTAATGAGTCAGTTTGAGTCCCTGCTATTTTGCACTAAGGCTGATCCAATGATCCAATACTCTCCAAAGTGATCTTCCAAATCTGTCTCCCACACCATTACACTCCAAACTGAAAAGCCAAATCTTTCCATTTAAACCTAGGTCATTGGGACTTTTTTGGCTCAAAAATCTCATTTGACTTCCTATTAACTAACAAATCCAGTCCCCAAATGCCAGCTTCTTAATAGAGATCCCAGTTACCTTCCTAGGCCTATATTCACTTGGATTAGTGAGCTAGAGGTGCCGTAACAAACTAACACAGATGGAGTGTCTTAAACAACAGAAATTTATTTCCTTATGATCTGGAGGCTAGAAGTCCAAGATCAAACTGCTGGGAGGATTGATTTCTTCCAAGGGCCTCTCTCCTTGGCCCATAGATGGTCATCTCTGTCAGTGTCTTCATAGGTTCCTCCCTCTCTGTCTGTCTGTCTGTGTCATATTCTCCCTTTCTCATAAGGATACCAGTGAAATTGGGTTAGGACCCACCCATATCATCTAATTTTGTTTTAATTATCTCTTTAAAGGCCGTATTTCTAAATACAGTCATGTTCTAAAATACTGGGGTTAGGACTTCAAAATGTGAATTTTGGAGGAAAAAATTTAGCCCATAAAACTCCTAAAGAAAGAAAATAAAAATACATGTTTGTTGAATGCATACCATGAGTCAAGCACTGCATTTTATACTTTCACATAAGTTAAAAAATGATTGATTCATTTTTCCTGAATTATCCCAATCCAGATTTTACTTGTAATATATCACCTCAGCTAAGATTCCTTCCTTGTTAAGAATCCTGGTGTCCTCCTCTGAGAGGACACATTTTTCCCTTTTACACTACTTTCACATTCTTCCTGGTTTGATGATTATTTTGTACTTTATTTTTTCCAACAATGCATTATTAATTCCTTGAAGTCAAGGCCATTAATGACTCTTAGAATGCCTGTGAAGTATATGACCTGTTGTTCAGAATATAAATATTTGTTAAATAAAGAACTCAAAGGAAGAAGGGAAAAGTTTATAAAAGAAAGAAGGGAGTATGACCAAGGTTTTTTGGCAAGGGGTGGATGAGGCAAGGGAAAGAATCATGAAAGATGTTCGAGAAGAACCAAAATTATAAGGCTATTAAGTCAGAGGTTAGTAATATATCACATTTGGAACCTAGAGGTTCTAAGACTCTAGACTTTTTATCTTTTAATTGATGGTGTTCTTAGTAAATTATATTCCATTTAAATAGCTTCACACCATAAAGATAAATGTTTTAATTCTGACATCAAATTATTTTAGTATTGGTCCTCATTTCCATTCTATCACCTTGTTTTGAAGATCTGCTTTCAGTTAGATCCTTTGTCTTTCACAATCAGCTGGGGTGTGGCTTAGGAGGACAACTTAAATGTGTTCTGCAATTTGCCGATTTGGTCTGGTTTTTGAAGCATGAAAAGATTTGAAGGCCCCAGCTAATGTGTATTACACATGCCACACCCCCTCAACTATGTCTCAGATTTGTGAGGGTGTGATCTATAACTCCATCTACTGTTGGAGTGCTGGGAAGGGAAGAGCATGGTCCCTTTAAATAATATGGAAGGCTGGAAGGGAAGTGCTGGGGAGAGGAGGACGTGGTCCCTGGTTAGGGCTCCAACCCCATGGGCCTAGGTGAAGACAGGCACTTCTGCCTTCCAACCCAAATGTTGCATTTTCCCAGAGCACCCTGACCCGCCAAGCCCCCCTCCTGTGCCTATAAAAACCTGAGACCCTAGCAAGGCAGACAGAAGCTGCTGGACTGTGAGAGGGACACATTGGCGGAAGAAGACAAGCGGCTGGACATTGAGAGGATGTTGAGGGGAGCACATAGACAGAAGAGCACACTGACCAACCAACACAGGCACTCTGCCAGGCCATCAAGGTGCTGGAAGAGGCAGAGTTTGGCCAGGAGAGCTGGGGCTGCCGAGTGGCCCAACTCCAGGTGAAGATCCCCTCCCTTCTGGCTCCCCATCAGGCTGAGAGCTACTTCCACTCAATAAAACTTTGCACTCATTCTCCAAGCCTATGTGTGATCCAATTCTTCTGGTAAACCAAGGCAAGAAACTCCGGGATACAGAATCCCTCTGTCCTTGTGATAAGGAAGGGGTTCTAATTGAGCTGGTTAACACAAGCTGCCTATAGATGGCCAACTAAAAGAGCACCCTGTAACACACGCCCACTGGGGCTTCAGCTGCAAACATTCACTCCTAGACACTGCTGTGGGGTGGAAGCCCCATGACCTGCCCGTATGTATGCTTCCCTAGAGGTTTGAGCAGCCTGGCACTGAAGAAGCAAGCCACTCCCCCATCGCACGCCCTGCCAGGGGGACAAGGGAACCTTTCCCATTTCACTGTCACCAGACTGTGATATTTTTTGCTGTGAAAATTCCCAAGACAAATTTGTTTCTGTGGCACATTTACCATTGTAACATGGAGCTATAGATATGATGGCTTCAGACATATCAGCCTTAGCACTTTATTATTTTTTTCAAGTCTTAGGCTGCTGTGAAATTTTTAGAAGTTTCTGTTTCCCTGGATTATTTTTAAAAACATCAAATCATTCCTTTAATAGAGTATATTATTATTCAGATCTTTTCTGAAGGAAAGTTTCATCTGATTTCTAAATTTAACGGTATGCCCTTATCTCAAAATTTCAGTCACCATCCACTTACCATGTACTTTTTTCGTTATTGAAGCATTCCAGATGCTTCCTTTTTGAAAAAGAAAAAAGGACTAAATTTAACGGTATGTACAGAGACTATTGTGTGTGTGTCTTGGGAGGAGTATAAATATGAGCTCCCATTAAAGTAAGATCTTCTAAATTGAGAATTGTAAGTTGTTTTTATGCTTCCGTTCGTGTGGCTCTGTGCTGTGTCTGAGGAACATAGGAATGAAGAAGACATTGTGTTGGCTCACAGGACGTCTATAGTCACCTGAGGAAAGATACAAATAACCAAGTATGAGTTAACTAGTGGTTTCCAACAAGGAACGACTGTACCCCCAGGAGACATTTGCCAGTCGAGATGGGGATTTACAGCAGGAAGTTAGATATATAAATATAAAGATTAGCAGAGCACTGGGCTAAAGATATATATATATATGGTAGTAATAACACAATAGTTCTTGAAATCAAAAGACTGATAAAATTATCCAGCAAGAGTGTGTGGGTGATGAGGACACTAGATGAGGGACACCTGCAATCAAAAGGATGGACACAAAGGAATACCAAAGATAACTGAATAAAATAATAATAATATTGAACATTTTGTAGAACCCATACTATTTTTAAAAAGTTCTCCTAAGCACTTATATGAATGCTCATAATTAGCCTGTTATTGTCAGCGTTTTTGTATAATGATTGAAGCAGGAATCAACAGTATCAAATGCAACAGAGACATCATTACAATGAGTACTAAAAGTGTCCATAGATCTGGCAATTAGGAGGTCATTGGAAGCCAGAGCCCAGTGGGTAGAAAAGTAAAATGTTGATGGGCAAGTAGAGAAGTTTAAGCCAAAAAAGTTTGGATTAAAAGGAAAGGAAAAGAAAATAAATGACCATGTTATAATGGGAACAAACTAAAAAGAGGTCATGTTTTTCATGGTGGAAGACATGGAAGAATGTAAGAGGAGCAGCCATCGTTTATACACCTCGAGGAAACCGAAGAAGATGCCTTATCAACTCTGAGAGGACTGGGAAGTTTGACAAACCAGGACAGGCAAAGAGACATAAGAGGTCATGCTTGGGCCTCAACTGAAATTGGACACTACTTGCTCTGTCCGTCAGTCCAACAACTCCTTTTTGAAATCTCTCTCCTGATAAGTTGGACTTATCTGAACTATGCTTTCAGGAGGACTTTTGCCTGTCTCATCTTCCTCACTTATCAGGACAACATTCTACAAAACCAAATCACAGAAACAGTAATACTATTATCTGCCTCCTTTACTCCTAAAACCCAGGGAATTCAATGACCAGTGAAAAACTGCACACTGTGGGACACACACAGGCTATCCTGAGACATGAGGGTTCCCCAAATGAGTGTTACAGAATTTGCTAATTCTTTGTGGTTGTTTTAGCAGAGCATGTAAATGCATATTGAACACTTTTTTCCATTAATGCAATGCTTATATGGAAGAATATTTTTCCTTCGCTGAACATTTTCCTACTTCTGTATCTTAGTCTGATAAAAATATGTTTTCCATATTATTTCTAGTCTCTATCATTTATTCAACTACAAATACTGAATATCTACTATATACTAGGTGCTGGTTTGTCAGATGCACACACGCTGTGACACTAGAAGAGCTCACAGTCTATAGGTAAAACAGATAGATTAATAGCTATTTAAAATGGAAAAGTATAAGTGATTTAATAGATATAGTAAATGATTGTGTAAGCTAATGCAGTAAGTAACTATACCCTCCCTCCCCCATAAAATAAGTTTTCTTCTCAAATACTGACTCACTTTCATTTTTTCAAATGGATTGTCAAGAATAGAAACACCCCATTCTCTTTGCTTGATGAATTTTTTTTCCTGTTTCTTTCTCTCTTTTCTCTTTGGTTCTCACCCTGCCAATTCTCTGCAGGTGCTCCTTTTATATTCTGAAATCCCAGTTAAGGGACTTTCTCACTGATTATAATGACATAGGTCTGTTTTCACAGCTGTAATTTTAAAGTTTCTTAATAATGCAATGTTTTAAACATTATTCTGAAATGCTAGAAGGTTTCAGGGTGCTCAAAAAGTAAACAGGCTCGTATAAAAAGAAGGGAACAGTTATAATAAAAAATTCAACAATTTGTATCAGATCATTGGCACTTCATTGAAAATCTCAAGCTCTTGAGACAACAAAATTTTCCCCCAAGGGGAACTAATTCACTAGACATGTGTATACATTAGAACCAGATGAAGGTGATGCAGTGAAATTGGAAAGACAATTCCTGGGCTTATTAGAAGCTGGAGACCAAGTATTTGTATGTCTACTGACTTCTTTGGCCTTGGCAAGAATCGTTTTCCCAGGAGAGCAGATTTGGGGAATTTGCATTTATGTTCATGATCACCTTTGACATCTGAAACTCTGAGGACTTGACACCGAGTATTACTATTATTATAAACAGAGCTCCCAAGCTGTTAAGCTCAAACTGCTACTTTGGTGTTAACAAGAATGGGTGCCACATGGTGTGCATATGCTGTTTGTGAAAGTAAATGATGCTTTAAGAGTGTTTTACTCTCAAAAGGAAGTCTACTAGGCAGATAGCTTGTATTGAAACTCTGTATATGTTCTCATTTGACCATCATAAACAATGTTTAAAGAGCCAAGGTTGTTACTTGAGAATAAATCAGGGAGCTCTGGAACATTTGGGTGGATATATTCACTACAAAGCATTAGAGACATTTCCCCCTATGTTTATCCTTTTAAAAATGTATGTATTTCACTTCAGGTCTCGATAGATCTTTCAGATTGTATCTTAATAGAGCTTCCTCAGCACAGAAGTGATTTATTTCTTTCAATGGAGGATTTACTTGAATCTACTATTTAGGAATTTAGCATAACTGGGTATAGAATTCCTTTACCTTGGATAGACTAAAAAACTCCCAAGACTGATTTAAAACAATTTAAATGTTGAATAATGCTATTTCCCTATGCGTTTGCTTTGTGAGTTAAACTGATGAAGATTTAATCTTCTTTTTCACAGTTTCTTTTGTCTATAAAACTAAAGATCCATTTTTATAAAAGATTTTTCTTTACTTTGTTTTAGAAAGAGATTTGATATCTGAATGGTAGTGGTAATGAAATTCTCTGTGGGTTAGGCTTTGAGGAAGAAATACTAACGTGAAATTAATGAAATATTAACAAATAAATTGAGTTCATAATGGTAACCATTTCCCTATGTTATATGTGATAACATATAACTTATGTATACGTAGTTTTGAGCTTTGCATCTGATCACTCTTAGCCAACAAATCTTTTCTAAAAATAAGGCAACTGGGGAAACCTATAATAAATAACTTAGCAAAATGAGGCGATGAACTTTTCAGCTACCATAAGCCTTTTCTCCCCCTTTAAGTAATGTATTTTATCAGGACTGAAATTCTAATGTATGATAACCTGAAATTTGAGTTTAAAAATGAACACAACTGAAATATAATAAGGCATTTTTCATCTCTTTTAATATTTTATATATTCTCATTCTTCATGAGAAATGGCTGCAGCACGCAAGCTGCCAGGTTAATCTTGCTTAAATTTGGCAATCAACAAGTAACTTTGTGCACAAACTGTTGGAGTACCATGCAAGGCAAGCAAAGGAGTTTAGATTTGATGCAATAATAGAGGGAGAGCTATCGACAGAGCAAGAGAATAATAAGATGCAAATGCCTTTTAAGGACAATTAGTCTGGAAACCAAGAAAAAAATGGGCTTGGCGGAATGAAAACATACAGACAAAGAGACAGCATTTGTATCATGTGAAGAATCTGGCATCAACTCAGAAGCCTTCTTTTTCACCTGGCGTGATTCAAAGTAAATTACAGTGAAGAAAAGGCCATTAGGCTCACAATAAGGAGACTTGGTAACTTGAAGAATGTATTTTTAAAAGTATGGAAATAGCTGTCAACATGAGGGGACTTTGAAAAGGAAGTTACTGGGGATATAAATAGATGTAATGGGTATAAGGAATGAAGCCTGAGGCAGGAAACAGAAAAATAATTTTTAAAAAGTTGCCAGAGGAAGAAGCAACATTATTTCCAGTTTTTAGAAAAGACATGAGCAATTCACTACAAGAGTTATACACAATGAAGATGAGTATGTTTCAATAATTAAATTAGTGACTTTGGGGAAAAATTCAAATTGCTGAGTAGAGATCCTAAAAAGTCCATTCCCTAACCAGTTAACTTCTAAGCCTAGATAATTCACTATTAAATATTTAGGCATATCTTATATTTTGGGATTCAGCAAATGGTTCGATTTCCTATGATAAATTTTGTAAATGTGTTTACTTTCCCAAGTGACAGATATTTCACAAGGGCCATAAGAGAGGTAAATGGGGAGATTCTTTGGTTTCCCTTTTTAAAGGCAGGAAGCAGCCAGTTCTTGGTTTGCATAAAGAAACTGGAAGAAAAGCACAGAGATAAAATAGAAATGTTCACTAATATTTTCATGAGTCAAGTTTTATAGCCACAGCTGTCTCCAGCAGGAATGGAATTTACAGTGTCAATGGGTATTAGAAAGAGATGGGCTGGAGGAAGAAGATTGGAAGGATGGGCACTTAGCATGTATGCAGAAGTGAACTAATCTGCCTACATAGCAGGAGCTGAATTTTATACCAAAACTTTCTCTGCAATTATAAAAGGCTTTAGATGTTTAGTTTCAAAGACATGCAGGTTGACCAGCAGTTTAAAGAGTTGTGAGCTACTGGATAATGATCTCAATCCAACTACTTTCCTTTGCCCAAATAGAATTCTTCAACCATCAGCAGTAATTAGTTGGCTTTTAGCTTTTGGGCACCAGACAATGGATCGTGATCCATAGTGGCTATCATGTGGGAGATGAGGCTGCAGGTGAAAGGTGAAAGGAACTTTTCACTTCCCAAGCTTCCAAAAAGCAAGTGTCTTCTCCTATTTTTAGCCTGCTATATTAATACTATATGTGTGTGTTTATATGTGTAGGTGTATGTTCTAAGTCACATTTCTCTTGGTTACTTGCTCCTTTTTACTGAAGATCATTTACATTTGGATCTATCATATGCCAATTCTAGTTAATTATGTTTATGAAAGATCCTGGTCTTAGTTAATGAAAGATTAAGAACAGTGTCTATTTTTTCCTTTTATTATGGATCTTTACTCTTACTGAAATTTTCTGTTTTAAAAGTCAAAATAAAATTTAGCTTATAAACAGTTTAGAAAGTTTATTTTTCTAGTCTTTTCTAGTTATGGAAAATGTAATATTTGAAAGACAAGTATCTATAACAAATCAAATTGATGTTTAAACACAAAAGATACATTTGCCAAATTGCTTCTCCTCCCTGATGCTACTTTAGGGACATATAAAACAAGAAATGGAAATTAATTTTTATCATGTGCATGTCGGTTTCCCTTTCTCTGAAATTCACTGATTTCTTTCAAATTTGAACACTCCAGCTTTTATCTCTTCTGGTCTTCAGTGCTAGACTCCCCCAGCTTTTCTCCAGTTCTATTGTTGTGACAGTATCACAATTTACTTTCTTCATTTTGAGGATTTGTTTGTGTTGTTATTCCTATTTTTTGTGAAAGGAAAATAAATCTTGGGGCCCCAAAATCACTAAGCTAAAGGGAAAGTCAAGCTGGGAACTGCTTAGGGTAAACCTGCCTCCTGATCTATTCAGAGTCACACCTCTGCTAACTGAGATAAATGCATAGCTAATTGCCTCTTTGGAGAGGCTAATCAGAAACTCAAAAGAATGCAACTATTTGTCTCTTACCTATGTATGACCTGGAAGCCCCCTCCCCACTTTTAGTTGTTCCACCTTGGCTTGGAGTTGTCCTGCCTTTCTGGACTGAACTAATGTTCATCTTACATATGATGATTAATGTCTCATGTCTCCCTAAAATGTATAAAACCAAACTGTGCTCTGACCACCGTGGGCATATGTCAGTCATCAGGATCTCCTGATGCTGAGTCACGGGCACACATCCTCAACCTTGGCAAAATAAAGTTTCTAAATTAACTGAGACCTGTCTCAGATCCTCAGGGTTCACACTGCCCTGTACTTTATGGGAAGCAAGCCAGCAAGTCCCCTTAGTAGTTGATCGTAACCTTGGCCTGCAATATCATGATCAGCAAATGATGCATCATTAGGTGTCTTCGACTGAGAGAGGAGCAATTACCCCATGACAGCAGGATCAGAGAAATCAGACTGATCAGGATAAAGAACATAACAAACAGTTGGGAGAACATGAAAGAATATATACATACACAGCATAAAAAATGTAAGTGCAGTTAAAATATCATTACACTAAGAATCTAAAGAATTACTGGGTTTCAGCTCTGCCATTTCTGCTTACCAATTCAGTGACCATGAGCAAATGACAACTTCACTGAGCTACATTTTCCATTTTGAAACATGTAGACCCTAAAGTCTGCCAGGATTATGGTAAAGAAAGCATGAGTCCTTATGCAAAGCATGTGTTGAATACTATTCACTCTTAAAACCATATTATGCTGGAACTGTGAAAGAGAACTAAAGCTGGCTGAAGGAGGGCCATAGGGAATCTGATTTTGTTTCCTTCCTCCCTGTATAGTTCAGGCTTTGCAAAGTAGTTTGGTTTAAAATCTAGGTGCTATTTTCTAGACAGAGTAACAATTTCTGTTTACTGCTTTTATTGGCCAGGCCTTGCCTCCCAATCCAGACACCCAGTTCTCATTCGCTCTTTAAATAACAGATTATTTCAGGAAACAAAGTTATTTTTCTCTACCTTGGAGGTGGTCATGGTGGTGTTCTTGCCCTTGCTCATCTTCTAAGTTAAATACAGTTACCCAGCCCAACACATCCTCCTGATGACCTCATGCTGAACCTACTTTTGAGCATTGTTCTCTGGGCTAGCAATCATCTCCAGCCTTCTCAAAGTGTCAAGGCAGCGAAACTTGGGGTTCAAGAAGGTTCTCAAGTTATTGAAAGAATGTTCTTCACATGTAATGGGTTGGTTCTGAAGGTGGCATAGTAGGTTTTGCCCCATTTTTCTTTCATGTATGCCATATTTCTGCAGCTAAAGGTGAGAGTATTGAAAAACATTAACATAAAACTGAGAGCTTTGATTTTTATCTTCATGTTTAAACATCTAAGGGATAACAGTAAAGTAAGTATGGATTACTATAGAAGACTCTTGTACATTTCAGTTGCCATTTCTGCACAATAATTTATACCAACTCTTAAACTACAAAACTTGTTTGTTCCTTTATTAATTTATCAGCTAGCAAAATATGTACTTGCTGTGACACTAGTTAAATTATTCACAGAGGCACATGTTCTATTAGGCCCTTTTTTTCTGGGGCCCATTCTGGTGATTTTAAGAAGCCAAGATAGGTGGCTTGAAGATTTTGACTTTTGCATAAACATTGTAAGAGCTCATTCATTCTCAGTGCTGTTCCTGAAACTTCATCATTTCTCCCTTTGTGAATATTATTTGATATCTGATCGTCTTTGAAAAAACAGTTTTCTTTGGGCCCCTTAGCTCACCAGTGTCCTCTGAAACAACCTGGTTTCCTTGGCATCTCCCCCTCACCCTAATTTCTCTCTACTTGTTGCCTCGTATCCAGCAACCTCCAACTTATTGATTTGGCTTGATTTAATTGGGAGCGCCCCATACCCAGGACAGGTTTTCCCAGTGGCAGCTGGGAGTATGAATCTAATAGGCCTGGTTTGGTTCTGTGACCCTCTGTCGCCCCTTTCTGGCCATAGCCTGTCACTGAAGTTTACCCTCTGGACTTGATAATACAGACAGCAGCCGTAGTACAGAACAGTTTGCAAACTATCAGCCTGTGTGCCAAATCAGCCCAAAGAATGCTTTGTTTGGTTCGTATAAATTATGCCAACATTTAAAAATTAGCAGACATATTAGTCCATTTTATGTTGCTGTAAAGGAATACCTGAGGCTGGGTAATTTATAAAGAAGAGGTTTATTTTGGCTCACAGCTCTGCAGGCGATACAAGAAGCGTGGTGCCAGCGTGTGTTTCTGGTGAAAGCCTCAGGAAGCTTACAATCACTGCAGAAGGCCAAAGGGAGCAAGCATATCACATGGTGAGAGAAGGAGCAAGAGAGAGAAGGGAGGGATCCCAGATTCTTTTAAACAACCAGCTCTCACATGAACTGCCAGAGCAAGAACTCACTCATTACCAACGAGATGCCACCAAGCCATTCATAATGGATCTACCCTCATGACCCAGACACCACCCACTAGGCCCATATCCAACATTGGAGGTCACATTGCAACATGAGAATTGGAGGGTATACACATCCAAATTATATCTAGAGATTTCAGGGCCAGGTGTGGTGGCTCACGCCTGTAATCCTAGCCCTTTGAGAGGCTGAGACAGGAGGATTACTTGAGGCCAGGAGTTCAAGTCCAGCCTGGGCAACATAGCAAGAACTTATCTTCACTTAAAAAAAAAGTCAGATGTGGTGGTGCTTCTGTAGTCCCACCTATTCAGGAGGCTGAGGTGGGGGAACTGCTTGAGCTCTGGAGATGAGGCTGCAGTGAGCCATGATTGTGCCACTGCACTCCAGGCTGGGCAACAGAGCAAGGTCCTGTTTTTTTAAAAAAAAGAGATTTTATATAAAATTTACAGCTTCTCTTAACATAGCAGAAGATCTGACAATCTTAGGCCAGCTTTCTTCTTGTGGACAATCTTACTCTTGCCCACCACTCATGGTGTAGACTGGTCATTTGCATCTAGTGCCTGCTTCACTCATTTCTGTTGACTGCCTTGTCCCAACAGGCATTTGGACTCCCAGGTCAAGTACAAAAGTTTATTCAAATAGATGTGGTTTATTTGTGTGTCTTGGGGAGGAAGAATGATATCTAATTTCTTTTATGAATATGCTCACAAAAAGGAATTAGAAATCAGATTGAGATTCTTTAGTACATGAAGGTGAAAATTGGGTATGTTTTCTTCCCATTTACAATATATTTGTACCAAGATTCACTTTTTATCAAAGAGAAACTTTTCTGCAGTTTAAATTGTAGGATGATGGAGTTCTGAATATCTTAGGTAACATTATTATATGGATGAATATATTTGCATTCTATCAGGTTGAATATAGAAAAATCATTATATACAGATGTTAAAGAAACTATACAAAGTACTAATGTATAAGGAGTGTGTGTGTGTGTAACCGTCTAATGATTCATGTTTTTTCTCTTTTTTATTATACTTAAGTGGAGTTTCCAGGGCAAACACAGGTATACAGTCATAATGATAAATTATGTAGTTTAATTCAGCTTCACCAATGATAACTCAGATGCCATTTTCAAATGCATTGTGAGAACGGTTTTTTCACGTTTGCTTCTAATTCCAGCAAAAACACCTAATTATAGAACAACAGTAGCAAAAAATAAATTTTGCTCAGGGAAAAAGGTTTTATGAGTAATCAGTGCAAAGCAGAAATCTCTTGCTGCGAATAATGTGGGCCAGCTAAGGTTTCTGTGAGGTTTTTTGCTTTGGCGTGGTTTGGCTTTGTACTGCCTGGGTGACCTCTTCTTCTCATCCATCACTTCATCAGAAAATCAAAAGACAGCAAGCTCCTAGCCAGACTCTTGTTCAAGATAAACTCTATGACCTCCTAACAGGTTACTAGATCTTTTATGGGAGTTCAGCTGACCACATGACTTCTTATATTTGAGAACTTATTCATGAGCCAGCAAAGCTCTGGCTAATGTCACAGAACTTGACAGCACTAGTGCTGTTCATGGCTTCATCTTTAGACATAGCTATTCTATCCTGTTCCCTTTCAGAAACTCAAATGAAGGGCCGCGTCTTATAATCAAACATTTCAGATAAAACAGCTTATTTTTCCCTGAGAGCATATGTGTCTTCTATTAATCCTAATCAACTAGGGACAGACTGAAAAGAACACTCTAATAAGGTAATAGTACTGAGTATTTTGCTGTGACATCCCACAAAAATGAGTTTTCTGTGGGATTTGGGGAGGAGGTAAAAAAATGACCAAGAAAAAAAAGACCTTCAAGAATTAAATGGCTTAGAGATAAAGCATATAAAATAGGAATGCTTTTATTGCTTTTGTATTTTCTGAGGACAATTCTGCCAGTGAATCCACAAAATTGTATAAATACAAATATATCACATTTGCCTGCTGTGATTAAATTTCTCTGATTACACAACTATACTTGATACACGGGACCAATGCATCATTTTTTTTTTCCTTTTGTAATCATTGTTATATCCACGCTTATAATCAACATTCATCACAGCTAATTAGAGTTTCTTTGTCTGTTGTTTCTGAGATCTGACATTCCTAGAGTTCAACTACAAAATTCATTTTTAACCATCTCTCTGCTTGGGGAGTTGGAGGAAGACAAATGCAAATTCCAGGGCTGTATTATTCACGAATGGCTTTCTGAAATTTTCATGTACTATGATTTTTTTAATTGAATTTAAATGATTACTCTTGGAGCCGGAGACCAAGTCCTGCTTAAAATTTTGCAGGACACTCCTATGATTTGTAGGTACATTCCTATTGGTAAAAGAAGCTGGCAGTCTTTCTTGTTAAAGATTTTGTAGATTTATATAGATATCAAAGGATATATATTTTTGTTGCATTAGATTGACATTAATTTCTAAAAATAAAATGCTACAGATTTACATCACTTACCAGTTCAAAGCTTTTGTTCACTCTCAAATGCTGTTTTCTTCTAGCAAATGTTTTTAATTATGCACACTTTAAATGTGAAATTACAGTAATAAGAAAGCTAGTTAAACTTTAGCTAGTCTATTACAAACAAATTTAATCTACTTTCTAGATGTTAATTTGAGACCAGAGTTTTCCAACTCACAGCTCTGTTGTCTCACCTGGAAATTCCATCTCCTTTATTAAAACAACTGTAACCTTTAAAGCTTTGATAGAAGAATAAACCTAACTGAAAATGAGTCACTATGGTATACATCCTACCTTCTTTATTTTGTGTTGTTCTACTTTGTTTTCACAATTTTCTTTAATTTGCATTTTTGTTGCTGCTGTTTATGTCCATACTGTGGACTGAGTCATTCCCAAATAAACAAACCAATATTACTGAGTAACCATTTCAGTTCCTGCTCTTGATAAGTTCACAGTACTCTGAAGGATGTAGGTATGTGAACACATAATTAAAATAAAACTGGAAAAGGTCTATTAGAAAAGACATAAAGCAATGGTAAGTTTGAAGAGAAAATGAAAAATCAGAGAGTAGTGGTGGGGGGCTTTATAGAAGAGGTGATATTTATTCTGAGACTTGGAGACATTAATGGTAGTTAAAGGTTATGAGGTGGCATTCTGTGTCAGGCAAGGTTCTAAGCAATTAAACTGTAGTAATTATTTTAAACCTCAAGAAAATCCTATGAAGTGCTATATATTACGCCCATTTTATAGATGAGGAAATGGAGGCATAGAAAAGTTAGGTAACTTGACCAAGCTCTCTGTGCCATATTTTATTTTCCAAAAATGGCTGTAACAATCTCTCTCTCTATTTAAATTCTTCTCAAACCTTGCCATTACCACAGTAAAAGGGGAGGTCTAGGTCTTCTGCTTGAATTGTATTGGTTTGGGACTGGCATGAAACCTACAGAATGTGTCAGAAATGACAAGAAGTCACTTCAATGGCTAGATCAGGAAAGAAGATACAACATCCACCTTAATCACTGGAATACTGCTGGAGCCCCAAGCTGCTATGCTTGGAGCAAGCCCAAAGTAGCCTAAATGAGAAGCCACCAGGGGAAGCTAGAGATTGAGAGAGAGAGAGAGAGAGAGAGAGAGCGAGAAAGAGTAAGTGAGTGAGTCTGGGTAGCCCTCAAAAGCTCTAATTCCTCACTGCCCTTCCAGCTCCAGCCACTGATTACAACTGCATGAGAGTTCTGGAGCCAGTAAGTACTGCCTAGCCCAGCCTGTCCCAATGTCCTGACCCACAGAAACAGTAAGATAACAAAATAATCATTGTTTTCAGTCACCACATATTGGGGTGATTTGTTGCAGAGCAATATCAACAGAAACAGTTACACAGTTAATAAGTGGGAAAGCCAAAATTTGAACCCACTCTGACTCCAGAGCTCCTCTCCTACTCCTATGCCAGAAAACAAGTCTTAAGAAGATTTATGGATATTCCTTCAGGTTTAAGTAAAAACCTTCATGTTACATGAATGTGTGTAAAAATCACTTCTTGAAATCAATATTCAGAGGCACAGAAAATGTTTTTGCATAGTGAGCTCTTCCTTTTATGATTGAAAATTAAATGAAGTAAGAATAAGAGAATGTTTAATAGGCTCATAAACATGTCAGTTGTCACAATTGCAAAAGCTGACTGTCCAGTGATTGGGTAGATATATATTGCATCATCTGGGTAATGACTTCAACCATATTAAAATAATATGGCTGTTTAGATAGGGAGGGGAAACAATAATTTTTTTTAATGAGGGGCAATAATTTCTAAATATGTAGCTTGGAGTAGGGAAGACTAAAGCTACTGTGGAGCCAGAAAGCTTGGATTTAATGATTTTGAATTTTAATATTGCATTTGCTTGGTTTACAGCAACTCGTTGAATTGTATATACCACACTAGCCAGTAAGCTTACTTAGCATGAGAATGAGGGCTTATCTTTTATAATAATAGTGAGGTTGATCCTTGGATAACCTGGGTCCAGCATGAAGATGTTTTATAAATATTTACTAAGTGAAGGAATGACTATAATCTCTTAGACCCTAAGTTTTCTTATTTATAAAATGTAACTCACTAGTTGAGTTTGCTTGTCATACCTTAGACCAGGAAAGTTTCCAGGACATAAAGAGTCTTGTACTTCATAAATAAATGAATTTAAAATGTATCTCCTTGACATGTTGAAGGATAGATAAATGTCATGTTTAAAACAAATATTATTCGCACTAATGTGACATCTGTTCCTACCATTGTCTTCTAATGATGCATGAATGAAGGAGGATTTGAGAATTCAGCTGAAAGATAGATTTAGGACATCTCCTTTTACTTCAGGCTATAGAGGCTCATGTGATTTTTTTTTTAATGCTCTTGTGGGATACAAGTTTCTCAATTATGGCTACCACAATTGGAAAAGTTATATTCCACTATTATTAATAATAAGACCTACTCTACCTCCCTGATGTGTGAAGTTCAAATGAAACCCTAAATGTGAAAATATGAAGCAAATATACAAATTTTGATTATGTGAAACAATATATAATTGGTAATTGTAATTATTCATTATAACTAATTTGTGTTATTGATAAGGTAAGGAAAATATAGACCACAAGAGCTAATTGAATTTATGTCATCAGATTTCTGCTAGTTGTGTTGTAAATTTGTGCCTGTGACTTTTTGCCTTTATGGAGAAAAGCTGAGAATTCACTGCGACTGTACATTCTTCAAACATGCAACCTTCCACCACATCACACAGTGGACCCAGCTTTTGGAGCTACTTAATGAGAATTATTTATAAAGTTCATGAGGAATTTGAATTAAAGGCAATTTTCCTTGAAAAATGATATGGTTTGGCTGTGTTCCCACCCAAATTTCATCTTGAATTCCCAGGTGTTGTGGGAGGGACCCGGTGAGATGTAATTGAACATGGGGGCAAGTCTTTCCCGTGCTGCTCTCGTGATAGTGAATAAGTCTCACGAGATCTGATGACTTTATAAAGAGGAGTTCCCCTACACAAGCTCTCTCTCTTTGCCCACCACCATCCGTGTAAGACGTCACTTGCTCCTCCTTCTGCCATGATTGTGAGGCCTCCCCAGCTACGTGGAACTCTAAGTCCATTAAACCTTTCTTCCTGTATAAATTGCCCAGTCTCGGGTATGTCTTTATCAGCAGCATGAAAACGGACTAATACAGAAAGCTTCCTTGCTATGAATTAGACAAAAAGAAAACAAAAAAAGGAAGAGAGAGAACAAGTTTCATATGTAACTAACATTTGGGAAACAATGATAACAGTATTAATGTCATACTTATTGAGTCCTTACTTTAAGACTGTTCATTCAACATGTAATAATTCATTTAATCTTCACAACAACTTATGGAGTAGGTATGATTTCTATTACACTCATTTTACAGATGAAGAAACTGAAGAATAAAAAGAATAAGTGAATTATCCAAGTAAATACAGAATGTCAGTTTCAGATGCAGTCCAAACCCCATAGCCCTGAGCATGTCACAATAGTTAGTATGTGATTATTAATTTAACTGAAAATTTCAGTTAAAAATAGCTTAAAAAACACCCCAAATATTTTAAATATAACCTAATTATTAACAGATAAAGACTACAGTAAGAAGGTAAATCATTTTAGAGTTAATTTACTGATTTGTTACAAGTCTAGTGAGAGATGACATATGCTTCAAGTCAACATAACTTTAGTTTTAGTGTTTTTATCACCTTTTGAAAAGTACTTTAAAAATAATTTTATCTTTAGAAATGTTGGCTTCATTTTGTGGCTACGTTATCATATAATAGCTCAGTTTTCAATATTCTGGTTTCACTTATTTAAAGTAGCCATAGTTTAATGTAAGTTTCTTTCCTACCGAAATGTGACTTGATTTTTTCCATAACACCCTTTATTAGGTGAATTTCTGCTGCAACTCTTTTAAAAGTCCACTAGTAGAAATATGAAAGAAAAAATATAAAGCATTTGTGTTTAGTACCTGTGAGTGCACTTATGCTGGGTTTCAAAATTTACAAGGTATTTTCATAGGTAGTATCACAGTTGTATTTCTTAATATTTCTATGAAGTATCATCATCCTCTTTTTCAAATGAGTAAGAGGAGGTTCACAATAGTGAAGTGAATTGCACAGAATCTCACAGAAGTGGTAGAACTAGAATTCAAACCTATATCTTCAGTGCCTGAAGTTCAACATTCTGTTGCCTGGTAACTATGATTGTCCATTCCTCCTTTCTTTATCTCCACTATCAATGATGAATAGTATAAGGAGGAAGTTGGTTGAGCCTTAGGAGACTCATGAAGGTCAAGATTTTTCTTTTTTGAGGCTCTCAGTTTGTCCCTAGTGACTAAGAATAAAACAACTTACTCAGGTCTTGAAATGGAACTGCATATACATCATTTTAAGTAAAATCCTAAAATTAAAACCATTTATAACAGTTATTCCATTAGTATTATCTAAATTCTTCAGAACAGATAATATATTTATTATACTTCATGTATAATTTTATATTCTAAACAATGAGAGCATAAAGACCAAAACATTGTTTAAATGCACTTCCCAATTATTTGTGGGCATATATGAATTTTCTAGAGATGTTGATTAATGCCATAGCTCACTTTAACCTACAGAGAATTACATTAAGCCTGAGACCTAAAGAGAAATTGACTGGTTGAAAAGCTAATTGCAACAAAAAGCTTAGGTCATCACTTCATGAAGTCTATTGATTTGAAAATGACTATGATACATAAGATGTGTTTGCACTTTTTGGATAATTTTCACAAAGCAAATACACCCAATCTTTTTTTAAAAAAATAAGCAAAAATATACATGCTAAATTGAATCAAATATATTTGGTTTGGAGAAGGATGTGAATTAAATTGAAACTCTTCTCCTTTTGCCTCTTCATTTTATGTTGTGCCACCTCTGTTCTGTTTATTTGACACATCCCTGAAAGCAGTATAAGCTATCACTAAAATTGTATAACCACAGACTAAATGGATCACACAACTTAAAATAGAAGTCTGTTTTAGGAAAATGATCAAATATTAAGGATCCCAAATCCACACATTTTTTTAAAAATAAAAATTAATAACTTATTTGTGTAGCTAATTTAAACAGAACTTTTATGTGTTTGCAGCTCTATTGTGTTTTTTGTCCTACAAGCAGAAATGCAACACTGCTCTTACAAACATCATATTTAATTGTTGAAGAGACTGCAGTATGCCATTACAGATGGATTGATAGCCTTGATGATATCATTGAACTTTTGTCGTGCCTAACCTGGAAGACTTGCTATAAGCCAGAAAATTTTTGTCATTCATTTTGCTTCTGAAAGGCCAGATTTATTTACAATCTTGAATGACATTGGACACATGCACGTGAAACAGCCTGAAATCTATCATGCAGTGAATATCTTATAAAACTGCTACTTAAAATACTAAGTATTGACCTGGTTTTCAGAACCATCTTCAAAGTCAACGACTTTCAATTTGTTTACTTATAAACACTGATTTTCAGTGGATAGTAACAACTTTGTATTTTCATTCTTTTTTTTTCCTTGAGTAACCAGAGGCCACCAAACATGCACCATGTTTTCCTATTTTTTTAAATTAAGTGAGAAACAACAGAATGAGAAATGCATGTATATGTCTGTTATTTATTAATATCAATATGTAACTGATTAGTGAAAATATACTAGTAATAGAGTTTATCTTTGGGTGGATTATTCAGTGAATTTTTTAAAAATCTCAGCTTATACTTACATGCAGCAAAATTGCATAGTAATAGTGCTGTCAGTGAAAAAGCAAGATTGTTTTTGAGCTTTCTGTGTTTTGGAGCAAAAATGTGGCATATGTTACTATGAACTTGTAATTCCATCCATATTAAAACTGAATTTATGTTCAGTACAAATTAAATAAGAAAGCAATTGAGCACCTTCTGTGAACCAGGTTTGAATTTTCAAGCATGTGATAACAATAGCTAGTGTTTAGCTAATAATTATAATACTAAAATCTACTGCTTATAGAGTTTATGCTAGAAACGGTGCTAAGCATTTTAAAAGAATTATCTAATTTGATTCTCACAATAGCCTTATGAAGTAGTTATTTTGTTTCTCCTTACTATAGAGATGACAAAATTAAGATTTATAAAGTTAGGGACTAATATTTCATAAAGGAGTTTACTTTGTGCTCATTTGTGCTGTAGTAGATCAAGACCTAATTAAGCCATATTAAAGCCATTCCATTTGGAATTGTCACCTATCCAGGGAAGCTGCCTGCCTGTTAAATTTAGTTTTCTTGAAAGGGTTTAATTTTAAATTTTTATTTTTATAGATTTGGTTAATACAAGTATAGTTTTGTTACATGGATATATTGCTTAGTGGTGAAGTCTGAACTTTTAGTGCACCCATTGCCCAAATCATGAACATTGTACCTGACAGGTAACTTTTCCATCCCCATACCACTCCTATCCCCACTCCCACCTTTTGGAGTCTCCAGTTTCTATTTTTCTACTCTGTATGTTCATGTGTGCTCAGCATTTAGCTCCCACTTATAAGTGAGAACATGCAGTATTTGACTTTCTGTTTCTGAGTTATTTTGCTCAGGATAATAGCCTCCATTTTCATCCATGTTGTTGCAAGGGACATGATTTCAATGTTTAGCTCCCACTTATTAGTGAGAACATTGCAGTATTTGACTTTCTGTTTCTGAGTTATTTCACTCAGGATATTAGCCTCCATTTTCATCCATGTTGTTGCAAGGGACATGATTTCGTTCTTTTTTTATGACTGAATAGTACTTTATGGTATATATACAACATTTTCTTTATCCAGTCATTCATTAGATGGATACTAAGGTTGATTCCATGTCTTTGCTATTGTGAATAGTGCTGCAACAAACATACAAGTGCAGGTGTCTTTTTAATATAGTGGCTTATTTTCCTTTGAGTGGCAGAATTGAAGTCGTTCTACTTTTAGTTCTTTGAGAAATCAGTGTTTTCCCTAGTCGTTGTACTAATTTACATTCTCACCAACAATGTATAGGCCTTCCCTTTTCTCTGCACCCTAACCAACGTTTGTTGATTTTTGACTTTTTAATAGTAGCTATTCTTACTGCTATAAGATGGCATCTCATTTTGGTTTTAGTTTGCATTTCTCTGATGATTAATGATGTTGAACATTTTTTCATATGTTTGTTGGCTGCTTATATCTCTGTTTTTGAAAATAGTCTGTTCATGTTTTTTGCCCACTTTTTAATGGGGTTATTTGTTTGTTTGTTTTCTTGTTGAGTTGTTTGAGTCTGGATATTAGTCCTTTTCTGGATGCATAGTTTGCAAATATTTTCTCCCATTCTGTAAACTGTTTACTCTGTTGATTATTTCTTTTGCTGTGCAGAAGCTTTTTGGTTTAATGAAGTTCAATTTGTCTACTTTTGTTTTTGTTGCATTTACTTTTGAGGATTTAGTCATAAATCCTTTCCCAGTCCAATGTCCAAAAGAGTTTTTCCTCAGTTTTCTGGTATGGACGTGTGACATCCTTTCTTTTCATCACACTTTCAGTGTATAAGTGTGGGTTGAGTATTCAGGGGAATACATGATCTCTTCTATAACTTCCACTAACGGTATTCTATAATGCTGTCATTATAATTTGAATGTGAAGAGTTCTTCTGATCGGAAGCCTTCATGTGCATTGCTGTTTTGTCAGGCATGGAGCAATCAACTGATAGATTGATACAACTTTGGCTGTAGAAATTGACTAAATAGAATACTGACGTTCCATATCATGGAGTAGCTTTAAGCTCTTTAGAAAGCAACTCAACAAGCAACATCTTGAAGATCATTCATTTTAGAAAACCACACTACATATTTTAAAATTCAGGTGAATACAGATTTTGTACCAAAAGTGATAAAATTGTGCACCATGGCAGAAAGTCTATAAAAAGGAAAGATGGTAGTATGAAACTTTAGGAAATGTTTGTTTTATTTGTTGTGCAATTTTTCCTGAAAGTATGCTTATTGCAAAGAAGTTGGGGAAACAGGCAAATACAGAACAACAAAACAAAAACCATTCTTAGTCGTTTTTTTTTGGCGGAGGGGGGCTGGGGAATGGAGTCTTGCTCTGTCACCCAGGCTGGAGTGCAGTGGCATGATCTTGGCACACTGTAACCTCCCCCTCCTGGGTTCAAGTGATTCTCCTGCCTCAGCCTCCCAAGTAGCTGGGATTATAGGCATACACCACCATGCCCACCTAATTTTTGTATTTTTAGTAAAGGTGGGGTTTCATCATGTTGCCCAGGCTGGTCTCTAACTCCTTGTCTCAAGTGATCCACCCACCTTGGCATCTCAAAAGTGCTGGGATTACAGGCGTGAGCCACCGTGCCTGACCAGTCTTTTCAAATGAACATAGTCACTGTTAGCATATTTGACTATCTCTTTTCATTTTTTTTCCAAAAATATATATTGATAGATAAGCAGATACATATGGAATCACCATCGTAAATGTAAATATAAGTAATAAACACATCTTTAATATGTCAAGACATTGGCAGAGGTAAATAAATATTACTTTAGAATGTGACTAATTGTTAATTATGGTATAATGGTTCTTTGGATGTGTCATAATCTACTTAAAATTCGACTGATATTTAGATAGCTCCTATTTTTTTCTGTGATATTAAAAATACATAAATCATTATGCACATTGTGATTATATCCTTAAGATATGTTCTTGAGACTGGGTGTGGTTGCTCACGCCTGTAATCCTAGCACTTTGGGAGGCCAAGGCGGGCAGATCATCTGAGGTCAGGAGTTCGAGACCAGCCTGGCCAACATGGCAAAACCCTGTCTCTGCTAAAACTACAAAAATTCGCTGGGTGTGGTGGTGGTCACCTGTAATCCCAGTTACTTGGGAGCCTGAGGCAGGGAGAATCACTTGAACTGGGAGGCGGAGGTTGCAGTGAGCTGAGATTGCATCATTGCACTACTCCAGCCTGGGCGACAGAGCGAAACTCTGTCTCAAAAATAAATAAATAAATTAATTAATTAAAATAAATAAATAAATATATATTTTCTTGAAAGTAGAATTGCTGCAGAGAAAAGTATATGCATATTCTGATATTTGTAACCACTTGAATTTCAGAAACTGTTCCTACTTTGTGCTCCTGTTAGCAAAGTATGGTATGGCCTTTTTGCCACACCTTTACTGCCTTTACAGCAGCACTGATTTTCATCTTTATAAATTTCATAGAGAATTAATAGGATTAATTTTATTTTGGTTTTACTTTTTTACCTACCAATAAGATTCAACAGCATTTGACATCTTTTTTACATTTTTATTTCTGACTTTTTAAATCAATTTATTTCCTTTTATTAGACTCAATTTCTGTTTGTGAATGTTTACCTTTTCCTTATATACATATAGTTAATATAAATCTTACATATGTGTGTATAGATATATATGTATAGATATATATGATATGTACCCTTCACCTTATGTGTGTCAATATTGTTTTCTTCATTTCTTATTTATCTTTGAGTTTTGGTCACTCTGAATAATAGAGTCTAAAGTTTACATGGGAAGTTTATCAGCCTTTCCATTTATGCTTTTTAACCATGGTGTTATTCTAGCTCCAAAAATGTAAAAAATATTTTTAAAGTATCCATAGCTATTTTATATTTTACTAAAATTCCATCTAAGCAGAAAGGATATTTTAAGTCCTTTTTAATGTTATTTTTATTTACTAATTATTTTGACCAACAAAACCACTAATTGTCTTTTATTTCTTAACATCTGCCAATGTCTGTCCGATCTTACAGTTTGATTTGATAATGGCCAAATTTAATTTGATATTTGACATTTGTTAATAATGTGCATAATTGTTAGGTTTAAGGTAAATAGACATATGTGGAAAGGGACACTTATACATGATATTCATTATTTTAATGTATCTTTATTGATAATTTTCTCTAATATTATCTCACAGAGATACAGTTGTTCACATTCCTTATGAGTAAAAGGCTTTGCTTTCAATTCTCCCATACCAGATATGACAGCCTAAGGAAGAAATTTTCAAATATTTTCATCAATCAAACTGACCACTTTATTCAAACAAATTCTAAATTGAGAGCTATCCAATATGTAAAACACATTAAAGCAGTTTTTCACTTACTGAATTGGTTATATGCTAGGGTGGGCCTCTGTCTCACACTACACTCTGTCTCTGTCTAGGCACTCCCTGAGACAGCTCTTTGAATCCTTAAGGATATGAAGCGCAGTCTTTCAGCTCGGAAGAGTAAAAGTCAGATCCAGTCAAATAAATGAGTCAGGTTGCTCAGTATGATGGAATAAGTTGTGGAAAAAACTGGTGGACATAGTAAACATGTATTTGATCCAAAAGTATAAATTAGTTTCTGAAGCCCTTTTCAGGACTATGAAAACCCGACATTACTTTTGTTTTAAAATTTCTGTATTTATTTCAGGTAAAGCCAGGCAGAAGCAATTTGACTGGACTATATTAACCTAGCTGTCCATTAAAGTAATTTTGCCATAGTATGTTGTTATATTAGGTCTTATGTTTTAGTAAAGGTCACCATTATTTAAAAAAAAAATAAATTAGGAAATATTTCACATTTTTTGAAAAACCTCTTTTGGAGACTTTGTCATTGTTTTATCCAATGACCCTTATATTCAAAACTCATGTAAGATATTCCTATGGAATTTAATGTCCATAAAGTCTGTCCCTCCTGAAAAACAAATATTTCCTTTTCAACAGTCATGGAAAATTATATAACTTCTTGTTTTATTCTCTTTTTAAAATTACCTATCAGAAATCTCAGACCTATTTTTTTAAAATAATGATGGCACAAGCAATATTATAACAACAAAAATGAAGACTTTAAATGACATAACTCTACCATTGTTCTAGATCAAATTATTTATTTCTTAAAGCTTTTCAGATTTTCTCCATAAGAATAGGTAGCTTTTGTAGTTGCAACTAAAACACAGAAACAATTTGTAATCCATTTCAGGAAAACGGTTTCTCATATTGTTGCATAAGTCATTGCAATTATAATTTTAATAACTGCGTTCAAGTAATACGTTTAACTTACTTGGTTATTTCCGTATTGGTGAACATTTAAATTGTTACCAATGTTTTTGCTTGATGTGTGTGTGTGTGTGTGTGTGTGTGTGTGTGTGTTCTTCACTTTCCTTTTAATGACAATACTTTTTTGAATAACTTCATATGATCTTGTCAGTTCATTATGAGGCCTGCATGATATTATGTATGGAAGGTATCTAACATAGTTTAATTGCTTTGGACTATATCTTTGGATAAATTCTTAAGAGTGGAGATATGGATTCCTGAAACTGGGCTTATTCCAACACCTGTCCCCTTCTTTAACAAACTAAGTTTAAAAAATAATATCTAAACTTGTATGTAAACTTATACTCCAATTTCCCTTAGGTAATCAGCCTTTATTGATCTTTCTCTCTATGATATTCTGCAGCACAAAGCATAGGACTTAATTATAAAGCCATATATTCTTTGTTAATTACTACACGTTTATTAGTCATGAATGCCTGGCTTCTTGACAGAATCAGGTGTAAGCAAAATAAACAAGCACATAAAGTTTCAGTTAATGGAATTTTCTTTGGAATATTGTAATGGAAAGTAAAGAGGATCAAGAAATAGTGTGACTAGGCCTTCTCTTTCTGGCTATGATGGGATAAGTAGTAGCAGACCAATTATCTTGCTGACAACAACTAGAAATGTTGTATGTAATATTAAAAAAACCACACATCTGAAGATATTAGAGAATATTGTGGCAGCCAGGAAAGCCACTGAGGTGAGCTTTCTTATCAAGGGATTGATTCATGAGTGACACAGTGAAAAAGGCTGAAAAGGTAGGAAGAAAGTGGCTGCTAGTAGGAAGAAAAGGTATGTTGAACAGTCAGCAGTCCCAGCAGGCTGGGGAGACATAAACTGAAATTCAGAATTACCAGAGAAGCCAAAATCTGAAGGATCAAGATACTGGAGAAAAGGTGTACCAGTGAGAATCCATAAGAGACAGAAACCACAAATTGATTTGGTCAGAGAAAAAAATACTATGAAGAATTATGAATTAGAACTAAAGATAAAGTACTAAAAGGGGTAAACAGAATGTTGAAGAATATAGGAATAGCATATGTAGAAAGTGGCCACCATGTCTAGGACTGGAGGAGAGTACCCAAGAGTGAAACAAACTTGGAAGCATCCTGTCAATTCCCTGGCCAGGTTGAAAGTCAAATCTCACTGGAAAGGGTATGGCTATGGCTCACTGGATGGCAGGAAAGTTTTCTGAAATGCTGCTGCTCAGGGATGATGGGCAGGAACATGTCCACTGGGGTGGCACTGAAATTCACTGGGAAGCTGCCTACTGGAGGACTGGTAAAACTTGCTTAATGGTATTCACTTCTAGGTTTTTTGTATACCACTGGCAAAATAGCTGCTCACTGGTGAAGAAGCTACCCATTGACAAGAAAGTGGCCAGCTGGCAGCCACAATGCACAAGCCTGAAAAACAAATTATATTGATACTACAGTGAGAGTTTTCTTCCTCTTGCAGTTTTCCTCCAGAGCCCTCTGCTAAGAAGGCTCAACAAGAAGCTGGCAAGGGAGAAATATTTACAGGGTCCAGCTCCTGTATTTATCATAAAGCAAGACAGAGAAGAGTGGAATTATAAAAACAAGAAAAGCTGTGACAAGATGGAAATTTTTACTGGAGAAGTAGGATTTATAAAAGAATCAACTGCAAATAGTTGAAATGAAAAAGGAAATAACTTTAATAGCAAATGTAATAGATGGGATTAATGGCATATTATAAACAACTTATTATGGAATTGACAACCTGAAAGGTCAGTAGGCTATCTCTACTGAAGCAAACAACAAAAAATAATAAAATATAATAGAAAATAGCATGAAGCAAATGATGTATAGATAATAGGTATCATAAGCCTGTGTATGGAAGTACTAGAAAGAAAGGACAATAAAAATGAGACAAAAGCAATATTTGAATAGATACTGGTGAGACAATTTCTTTAAACTGAAGGACATCTAACTACAAAATCAAAATGCACTACAAATTGCAAGGAGGAAAACTACAAAGAAAAACATCACGGTACATCATAGTAAAATATATGTAGAAAAATAACAAAAGTAAAATTTTGACACAGCATAATTGTACATATTTATGAGGCACAATGTGTTTTGATACATATATACATTGTGTAATGGTAAAATCATGGTAACTAGCATATCTATCACCTTAAACATTTATCATTTCTTAATTATAGAAGCATTCAAAATCCTGTCGTATAGCCATTTCAAATATACAATACATTTATTGTTAGCTATAGTCACCCTACTGTGCAATAAAGTACTGGAACTTATTCTTCCAATCTAACTGTTATGTTGTATTCGTTAACCAATCAAAGGGAAAATCTTAAAAGCACACAGAGAAAAACAATCAGATTACTTTCAAAAGGAAATTTAAGTGATGATAGAATGACACTGCTAATAAGCTTTTTAAAAACCTCTAGAATTCTATTCCACTGAAAATATTATTGAAAACATCAGGTGTAACTATAAATGGAGAAGAGGCAGATCTCTACATAAGAGTTCCAAATAATTTGTTTAGATACTCTGCCCTCAAGAGGGAGCATTTCTCTCCACTTTCTGTGTGTGGGCTGTACATAATGACTTTGCTCCAAAGACTATGGAAAGAGGAAAAAAATAGTGTAACTTTGTTACTCTAGAATGGAGAAACCTGACAAATGCTACATCAGCCAGGGATCGAGGTCAACATCAATAGTGCTAAGTCATGTTGAGGTAATAAAGACACTTTACCTCTATAATCTTCCTCCTTATAACCCACAATCCCTGTTTAAAATAAGAAAAACACTACAAAAATCCAAATGGAGAGACATTTTATAGGATGCCTGCCCAGTATTTCTCAAAACCATCAAAGTCATCAAAACTAAGGAAAGTCTGAGAAACTGTCATAGTCAAGAAGAACCTAAGGACCATGACAACTAAATATAAAATTCTGGGAGACATCCTGGGACAGGAAAAGAACATTAGGTCAAAGCTAAGGAAATTTTATTTAAATATGCACTAGATAATACAATCTATCAATATTAGGTTATTAATTATAACTAATGTGCTATACTAATAAGATGTTTAAAACAGTGAAATATGGGATGTTGGAGTACATGTGAACTCTGTACTCTTTAAGATTTTTCTGTAAATCTAAAAAAAGCTAACATATTTTATTTAAAAATTAAGGTAAAAAAATCACCTTTTTTGATATTGCCATTTCCTGACTAAATATGAAAAAAATGTTGCCAGCAGATCCATATGAAAAGAAATACTAAGAGCAATTTTCAGGCCAAAGGACATTATTCTGGAAAGAAGCACAGAAATGAAGGAAGCAATAAAGAATGCCAGAAAAGGTAACTATGTGAATAAACCTAAATTACTTCTGAATATATAAAATAATAACTATGATGTCTTATGGGGTTTAAATATCCAAAAATAAAATACATAATAACAATAATATAATAGGTAGGAAAAGCTTTAAAAGAGTTAAACTGTAAGGTTCTAGCATTATATGGGAAGCGGTTAAAGTACTAATTTATATTAGATTTTAATAATAGATGTTTTAATATCTAGAATTACCACTAAAAGAATAACAAAGGAATATATGACCGACAGTCTAATAAAAAGGGCAAATAGAACACCGAAAATAAATTTTGAGAAAAGTAAGAGTTGAGCATAAAAGTAATATAAAATCTATGGGGAATTTAGAAAAACAATAAAATGATAAATTTAATCCAAATATGTTAGCAATTACATTAAACGTCAATGATATGATACTACAGCTAAAAGTCAAAGATGTTTAAAATATATTAAAATAATGTATATACAGGTATATTTATATATAGAGAGAGAATTTCTCAGATATATGAATACAAAAAAAGGGAAAAACTAAAGTTTAGAAAATGAAATGACATGCAAAGTCATCAATGAAATAAAAGAGGATACAAACAAATGGAAGAACATTCCATGCTCATGGATAGGAAGAATCAATATCGTGAAAATGGCCATACTGCCCAAGGTAATTTATAGATTCAGTGCCATCCCCATCAAGCTACCAATGACTTTCTTCACAGAATTGGAAAAAACTACTTTAAAGTTCATATGGAACCAAAAAAGAGCCCACATTTCCAAGACAATCCTAAACCAAAAGAACAAAGCTGGAGGCATCACGCTACCTGACTTCAAACTATACTACAAGGCTACAATAACCAAAACAGCCTGAACTGGTACCAAAACAGAGATATAGACCAATGGAACCAAACAGAGCCCTCAGAAATAATACCACACATCTACAACCATCTGATCTTTGACAAACCTGACAAAAACAAGAAATGGGGAAAGGATTCCCTATTTAATAAATGGTGCTGGGAAAACTGGCTAGCCATATGTAGAAAGCTGAAACTGGATCCCTTCCTTACACCTTATACAAAAATTAATTCAAGATGGATTAAAGACTGAAATGTTAGACCTAAAACCATAAAAACCCTAGAAGAAAACCTAGGCACTACCATTCAGGACATAGGCATGGGCAAGGACTTCATGTCTAAAACACCAAAAGCAATGGCAACAAAAGCCAAAATTGACAAATGGGATCTAATTAAACTAAAGAGCTTCTGCACAGCAGAAGAAACTACCATCAGCGTGAACAGGCAACCTACAGAATGGGAGAAAATTTTTGCAATCTACTCATCTGACAAAGGGCTAATACCCAGAATCTACAATGAACTCAAACAAATTTACAAGAAAAAAACAACTCCATCAAAGAGTGGGCAAAGGATATGAGCAGACACTTCTCAAAAGAAGACATTTATGCAGCCAAAAGAAACATGAAAAAATGCTCATCATCACTGGCCATCAGAGAAATGCAAATCAAAACCACAATGAGATACCATCTCACATCAGTTAGAATGGCAATCATTAAAAAGTCAGGAAACAACAGGTGCTAGAGAGGATGTGGAGAAACAGGAACACTTTTACACTGTTGGTGGGACTGTAAACTAGTTCAACCATTGTGGAAGACAGTGTGGCAATTCCTCAAGGATCTAGAACTAGAAATCCCATTTGACCCAGCCATCCCATTACTGGGTATATACCCAAAGGATTATAAATCATGCTGATATAAAGGCACGTGCATGCACACGTATGTTTATTGCGACACTGTTCACAATAGCAAAGACTTGGAACCAACCCAAATGTCCATCAATGATAGACTGGATTAAGAAAATGTGGCACATATACACCATGGAATACTATGCAGCCATAAAAAAGGATGAATTCATGTCCTTTGTAGGGACACGGATGATGCTGGAAACCATCATTCTCAGCAAACTATTGCAAGAACAAAAACCCAAACACCACATGTTCTCACTCATAGGTGGGAACTGAACAATGAGAACACATGGATGCAGGAAGGGGACATCACACACCAGGGCCTGTTGTGGGGTGGGGGAAGGGGGGAGGGAAAGCATTAGGAGATATACGTAATGTAAATGACGAGTTAATGGGTGCAGCACACCAACAAGGCACATGTATACATATTTAACAAATCTGCACATTGTGCACATGTACCCTAGAACCTAAAGTATAATAATAAAACTAAACAACAACAACAAAAAACTAACCAAAAGAAAACTGATACAGCTATAACATCAAAAATTCAACTTTAATGAAAAAAGCATAGCTAGATTTAAAGAGGAACATTTTATAATAACAAAGTGTTAATCTACTAGGAAGATGTGGGGATCCTAAGTTTGTATGCCCCTCATAATAGAGCTTCAAATTATATGAAACAAAAATTGCAGTCAGAAAAGGGCACATGTAAAATTAAATAAAGCAATTTCACTATGCTTGTCTTGCTAACTGATAGAACAAGCATATGAAAAAATTATTAAATATATAGAGATATGAAAATCATGATTAACAAATCAAATAAATTTACATATTTGTACATATTTGAAATATTACATGTATAATATATGTAAGTATATGTTGTATACATGCACATATGTACATACAGAAAATATAGCATCTGACCATTGAAGAGTGTACATTATTTTCCAGTAAATATAGATTTTTTTTAAAAAAAAAAGAATTGACCATGTGCTAAAATATAAAGCAAGCCTTAACAAATTGTAAAGAATTGAAATCATGCAGAGTATATTCTTTGTTCACCATGGAATTAGTCTAGCATTTCATAACAAGATGATTGAAAATTCCTCAAATGTGTAAAAAAAAAATCCCAAAACATACTTCAAAATAACCCAAAGAAGAAATATTTATGTAGATTAGGAAATAGTTTGTGTCGATGATAATTAAAATGAAACATTAAAATCTGTGGTGTGCAGCTAATACTTTTATTTTTAGGGAAACAAACATATGAGTGTGATGTGGTCTTTCCAACAAGGCCGCCATCAATTTTTTCCTTGTTTTGACACAGTGTATTCAATTCCCTGATTGATAGGAGGAATTCTCCACCCTTCCAGAATCTCTGCTGGCCTGTGACTGCTTTAACTAACAAAAGTCTAAGAAGTTAGGCTATGTGACTTCCAAGGCTAGATCATAAGAAACCTTGCAACTTGTCTTTAAATCTGCTTTAATAGTCTCCCTGGGGGAGGTAAGCCACCGGTCCTCCACCCTGAGGACACCAAGCAGGAGAAAAGCAGGAGTTTGGCATGTGGGGAGCTTCATGGAGAGAGGGGGAGACATCTGACTAGCCACCCAGATGTTCTGACCATCTCAGCCCAAATCCCAACATGGGAGTGTCAAAGCCTCCATGCAGGTCTACCTCTAGCTGTCACCTTACTACTACCTTCTGTAGGACCCCAAATGAGCACCAACCAGTTGATTATTACCTGAGAATCCCTAGACAGGTGGAAAATAATAGTAAGTTGTCTTTCTAAGCCACTTAGTGTTAAGGTGATTGGTTACATGTTTACAGATAACCAGGAATATTTTTTAAAAGAAAGACTGAAAATCAATTATCTAAATTTCCATCTAAGAACTTAGAAGCAGAACAGTGAAAGAAACCCAAGGAAGTAGAATAAAGGCAATGATAAAGATCACAGCACAAATTAATTATGTGGGAAAAATGTGCAATGCTGAAAAATCAGTAGAGCTACAGGGCTTTTTTAGGAAAAGACTAAAATAGATAGATGATAGATAGCCAAGATAGATAGATAAAACTCACAAATTCCTAGCAAAACTGATAAGAAACAAAAGAGAAGACACACATGAATTTCAGGAATAGGAAGGGTGACCTCAGCACAATTGGACAGACATTTAAAACAGTAGTATGAGAATATTATGAGCAACTTAACAGTAATACATTTGAACATTAATACGAAAGGGACAAATTCCTTGAAACACATGATTTATCCCACATATTTAAATAAAAATCTGAATATTATTATATCAAAGAAATTGAATCTGTAATTGAAAGCCTGCACACACACACACACACACACACACACACACACACACACACACACACATATGCACCCCACAATCCCAGGCCTCAGGTAGTGTCATAAATGAGCTCTTTCAAACATTTTATTAATAAATTATACCAATCTTGCACAGATTATTTCAGCAATAGAAAAGAAGGAAACACTTCTAACTTTTTTTTTGATGTATCTAGTATGACCTGGGTGTCAAAATCAAGCAAGACTATTTACCAAAAAGAAAAAGTACAGGCAAATCTGTCTCATGGAAAAAATCATAAAAATTCCAAATGAAGTATTACCTAAGTGAACTCAGGCATATATAAAAAAAGTAGCGTATCATGACGAGGTTTATTTTAGAGATGCAAAAATCAATCCTGTTATTTATCATGTTAACAGAATAAGAAAAAACATCTAATTATCTTTATAGATTCAAAAAAGTGGTAAATAAAACTTTACACCTGTTTATGAATCAAATATGAAAGAAATTAGGATTAGAAAGGAACATTTATCTATATCTATCTGTATCTACCCTACAGTACCCATCATACCTACCTTGAACTATTAAAACCTCTCCTGAGATTTGAAGCAAGAAAAGGATAACCATTGCCACCACTTTTTCTTAGCATCCTATTTGAGGACCCACAAGTACAATAATGAATATTTTAAGAATTGGACAAATGGAAAAGCTATTTGAACAAGCATTTCAACAAGATGTTATCCAAATGGCCAATACATGAGAATGTGCTTAATCTGATTAATCACTGGGAAAATGCAAATTAGAATCATAAGCTGATGCTATTATTAAACTCCCAGAATAGATCAATGAAAAACCCAGCATATCCCAAATGTTGGCAAGAATGAGTAGCATCTGAACTCTAATATACCACTGGTGGGAGTGTAAATTAGAATAGCCTTTTAAGAAGACCATTTGTCTATAAATACTAAACAACACCTTAGACCTTTTGACCCAGCAAGTCCAGTCTTAGATGTACAGCTGCTCCTCAGTAGCTGCAGGGGTATATTGGTTTCAGGACACCTGTGTATGCCAAAATCTGTGGATACTCAAGTCCTGCATCTGGCCCTGTGGAACTCGAGTATATAAAAAACAGGCCCTCCACATATGCAGGTTTCACATCCTGTGAATACTGTACTTTGAATCCACATTTGGTTGTGGATGCAGCACCTGCTGATATAGAGGGTCCACTGTATTTAGAAAAATCCACATATAAAATGGACCTGTATAGTTCAAACCTGTATTGTTTAAGGGTCAACTGTATTATCCAACAGAAACACATTGGTAAGCTCATTGAAGACATGCATGAGAATGTTCATAGCAGCACTCTTCACAAAAGCCAAAAATAAGAAAATATTTAAATGCTCATCTTTTGTGAAATGAATATTGTAGTATATTCACAGAAGGGAACAATACACAGGAATAAGAATGTGTGATCTACAAGTATATGCAACAAAATGGATGTATATCCTAAACAATGCTGAATGAGAGAAGCCAGACACACTTGAATGAAAAGTTAACTTGAGCAAAACAGTCAAAGCTGCATAGCAAGGACATCAGACAAAATCAGTTACATTCAGTCAAGATGCATTGTTGCTCAGTCTGCCTATTACCTGACTGGTCCTTCAGTATCAGTTGTTTTCTGCTCTGATGGATCCACACTTCGGTGCGACTTTGCTTATGCTTCTACTTTACTTCTTCTGCTGTTCCTGACCAAACCCTTCTCTCCCTTCCCTGTCTCTCTCTGTCTCCCTCTGTCTCCCTCTTCCTCTTTCTCCCATTTTTCCCTGCCCCTCCATACCTCCCCCTTGTCCACTCCATCCCCTCTTCCAGCCACACTCATCTCATGAGGCAAGGATCTATCAAGTTAGCTAGTCAACATGCAGAAGAGGTACCTCATTTGAGCAGAACCGTAATCAAGCCACCTCACAGGCCACTATCAAACTTGAAGATGGATTGGAATACTCGCCAATTGTTAACTGGATTGGATAAATACATAAAATTGAGTCCTGTCTATAAAGATGACTTATGGCCACAGGTTTAGGAGTGGTCTGTGGGCATATCCTGTATATGGACTCAACCAAATCACATTTCTGTTTAGTCCTCAACTCCAGCTACATTTTAAACTTTGGAAACCACAGAAATACCCTTTTACCTTTCTCACACTGTCCACTACAATGGCATATATATAGTGGTGGGTAACTAATAATTATTTGAGAAGCCAATAACAACATATTTAATGGGTAAGCAGGTGGCCTAGTGTCCTGACCTTAGTTTAGTTTCTCTCATTGTTCTCAATTTCATCCTCAAATGATTCTATGTAAAATTTCTGGGTCTGTACCATAAGCTTCCCAAATCTGTAAGACTAGAAAATACCTTAGTTTATTGTTCAAAAGTAATATTTCAGATACCAAAATTATGACTTGTCTCTTTCTTCACATCAAAATTAGAGTGCATTCATTCTAATTAAAATGAAATATTATTTTATTTCATTTAATCCAAGGTTAAATAATGATGTCATTCTATGATGGTTCATTTTTAACAGAGACCCACCGAAGTTTCTTTTTGTATGTCTAGTTACAAGAGGCTAATTCTGTTTGACTATTCACTTGCAGATATAAATGAATGTACCATTGACAATGGTGGCTGTCAAGATCGATGCTGTAATACAGTTGGCAGTTATTACTGCAAATGTCAAGCTGGCCAGAAGCTGGAGGAAGATGGCAAAGGATGTGAAGGTAACAGGACTGTCTGCTTACTGATAAGGGAAGAGAGAACATCTATGTAATGCAAAAGAGGAGGTTGTCTTTTATCCAGAGCCAGTTGAAGTGCCTGTGTTGAATGTTGTCAAGAGCACAGATCTTCCTCTCATGTCTAGATTACAGTATTGTAACCCTAAGAACATTTCAAGTAGCTTATTATGGGAAACATATGATTATATGCTGGTTTGGTTGTGTCATGTTCTGATTATGGAATTTCAATCATTCATTTAAATCCCTGGATAAAGTACATATTTTTTAAAGCATTTCATTTAATTCTAAAGTAAAAATGATACTTATCATAAAATACTCATATGTTGCTACAATGTAAATGGAGGGGCACAAAACTAACCACAGGAATAATATTCTTGGTATAGAATTAGCTTTTTGCACAAACCTCAATTTTCTGTTTCCTTTTAAAATTAATTCCTTCATTTATTAATTCATCATTTTATTCATTTGACAATCATTGAGTTTCTGCTCTGTATCAGGCATTATTCCATGCTCTGGAGATATAAAAATTAATGAGAAATAAATTATGTCCTGAAGGAGCTCACTGATTAGAAGCAAAGATTGAAACATAAGCCCAAGCCTTACAAAGTGGTATTTTTAGGCATTATAGCATGCGGTAAGTGCATTGGATTCAAAGAGACATGTGTTTGAGACCTAACTCTGTCACTTATGATTTATGTTACCATGGGCAAGTTATTTTATTTTGCTAATACTCTTCCTTCATTGATAATATTTAGAATAATGGTGGTTTCTAAACCACAAAATTTGCTGTGAGAATTAAATAAGGTAATGCATCTAAAGCACTTAGCATAAAGGGTGGTGCTCAAATGATAACTATAAGTGGTACTCTCATTTATGAACTTAGTTGCTGCCTGTCTTGGGAATGTAATGGGGGACAGAGATTGCTTCCTTCTCTTAATTTCTGAAAGGGAACATAATAGATTAAAAGGATCACTATTACCATGCCTTATAACTGTCTTTCTGAATTTTTTCTATCTGGCCATATTACTAAAATGCCTGAGAATTTTATATAGTCAGGCATCTTTGTTTGTTTGTTTTAAGATAACAGTAGAAAAGCATTTATTCTGATTATGTTCTATCACGGATCTTAAAAAATCACATTCTTTTTTTCCCTTAACAAAGTTCATTCCTGATGGGGCATGTATGAATAAGTTGGTAAAAGAAAACAAAACAAACAAAAAATATCCCCACTGAAGGCACCTGAGGCTAGGGTTGTGGGTTTCATTGAGACTACCAAAGGCAAGACAAATTGTAGGTGTGAGTAGGTTGGAAAATGTATCAATTTCCCTTTATCATTCCCTCCCAGCAGGGCTTGTGCAGGCAATAATAGGAAGGGCTCCAGGTAGAGAGCCAGATGTTTAAAGGCAACTATGTCTGGACCTTCCTGGGACAGGGTTCATCTCAGGAAGCATCCTCTGCCTGGAAAAGTGTAAATTCACAAAGGCAAACCCTAAATTCACCCAGGCTCTTTTTTCATTCAAGTGCAATAATCTCTATTTCTGGATGAAATTATTTGGCAATGGTGATCCCAGTACTGATTCAATCTCAGAAGAAGAGTCAAGGACTGCATTGTGTTCAAGGTAAAAGTGGGATGGTGACCACTGAAGACGACATGGTCTGTACTATGAGAATAGTGTTTTCATGAACCCTCCCTTCATCTGACAGGCAACAAGCTATTTATTTCTCTTTGACTGAGTATTATTATTGCTGTATCATCATTGTCATTATTATAGATATATTTGAAGCACCTATCACAGCAATTCACCATTGTTAGGTATAATAATTATTTTTATAATAGCTATTAGGCTAATAAGGCATGTTAGACTTCGCACCCACTGGTTCATTTACTTTCACTTATATCCTATTTTAACTGAAGTTAGTTACTCATGGTCACTCATATAAGTGACAAGGTATTTAGAGAAATGATTTCCATGGTTTTATTTAGCTGAGTCCATTTGTACAAACTGAATACAATTAAGGTCAGTATTTGTATGAATCAAGAGTATGATAATCAAGAATCCAGAGTTTGATATAATGAGATAACACTGACTTCCTACTTTCCCAGGACTAGGGATGGTGGTTTGAAGTAGAGCAGCTTACCTGCAAAGAACCTCTTCTCTCAGTCTCATTGATGTTAGAATCTTTTTTTTCTTTTCATTTCCTTAAATGACTATTTGCTGGAGATGGTACTGCTAGAGATTCAGCTTGCTTGATTGTTGAACATACAATCATCTCAGGTTTATTTATATACATGATTAAATAAAATATAATAGAGATCATTTTGAAATCCAGTGCATTCTAAAGACACTGCAAATGAACATTCATGTGAGTGTAGAAATGAGTCATTCATGTTTATTTACTGGCTGGTAACAGTAGAAGTCAGTTGGTTTCAAAGACCATTTAGTTGAATGCTACAGCATTGAATTAAACAGTCATTTAAAAATACTTTTACTTTGCATTAATATAAATTGAATTTAAGTTATTTGAATTGCTTTTTAAAATATAGAGACCAGCATTTTAATGGGCATTTGTTGTACTATTTAAATAAATCTAGGCTGGGCATGGTGGCTCACGCCTATAATCCCAGCACTTTGGGAGGCTGAGGCAGGTGAATCACTTGAGTCCAGGAGTTCAAGGCTGCAGTGAGCTGTGATCACATCACTGCACTCCAGCCTGGACAGCAGAGTGAGACCCTGTCTCTAAAATAATAAATAATAAATAATAAATCTAGAGTCTGTCCTTAAGTGGACAGAATTTAAACATTTATAAACAATCTTGTTAGTTAATCTTACTCTTTAACTTTTTCTATAAAGAGGTATAAACTTGTGGAGAAGGCTCTTGATTAGCTCAGTTTCACTGGTATCCCCTTCTTTCAGGCATAGCACTGAATCTAAAGAATGTTTTCTGATTCACACGCAGATTGATTCTTACAAGATATAGATTAAAGAAGCAAATGAAGGGAAAAAATGCCTTCCACTGGATGCTGTGGGAGATATTAAAATATTTACATAGTGTGTGTCAAGGATCCCCAAACCTCGGGCCACAGACCAGTACTGCTCCATGGTCTGTTAGGAACTGGGCCACACAGCAGGAAGTGAGTGGCGGGTGAGTGAGCAAAGCTTAATCTGTATTTACAGTTCCTCCCCATCACTCACATCACCACCTGAGCTCCACCTTCTGTCAGATCAGCCATGGCATTAGAGTCTCATAGAAATGCAAACCCTACTGTGAACTGCACATGCAAGGGATCTAGATTTTGTGTTCCTTACAAGAACCTAATGCTTGATAATCTGTCACTGTCTTCCATCACCCCGAGATGGGACTGTCTAGTTGCAGGAAAACAAGCTCAGGGCTCCCACTGATTCTACCTTATGTTGAGTTGTATAATTGTTATCTATCACAATGTAATAATAATAGAAATAAAGTGCACAATAAATGTAATACACTTGAATCATCCTAAAACCATCCCCCTTACCCCGGTCTGTGGAAAAATTGTCTTCCACAAAACTGGTCCCTGGTGCCAAAAAAATTGGAAACTGCTGGTTCATACACACACACACACACACACACACACACAGATCTATATATAGATCTATATATGTGCATACTTGTATGTATATGTATATATGCTTATCTATTGAAAGGATGTAAATTTCTTCTTTCATTTGCTAGTGTGAGTGATTATTTTTATAGATTTTCAAATATGCAACTATAATTGCACTTCAGAAAAAATTCAACTGGTATCATTTTATTTGCTATTAAAGTCAATTCTCTATTATTTTGTTTAGGATGTTGTATCCACAACTGTGAGTGAAATAGGCCAGTAATTTTTGTTTCTCATATGTTCTTTATGGCAGTGGCTCTCAACTGGGGTGATTTTGTACCCCAGAGGCACTTGTCAATGTTCGGAGACACTATTGATTTTCACGACTGAGGGGAGTAGGTGCCACTGGCATCTAGTGGATGGAGGTCAGAATGTTGCTAAACATCCCCTTCTTCTGTAATTCTGATTATACTGCTTCAGATTTCAACCATTTAACTTTATGTTTTAGAAATATCATTTTTCTCAAATTTATAGATTATCTTTTGTATGTATGCTCATTTTTATAGTTGTATTATCTTCTTTTGCTATTTCACATATAAGCCTTCTATATTCCATATCTGAATCCAGCATCTGGGGTCCTTGTGGAAGGTCTAAATCTATTGTTCCTTATTTCTAGGACCATTAGTTACACTCTCTTCCCTTTCATGTTATATACACTAATACCTCTGTTCCATAACTTCTTACAGAGCACTGTACTTATTTACACATTTGTACTGTCAATTAGATTGGGGATATCTCCTGGGAAAGAACCATGTCTTATCACTTTTTCATCCCCAGCACACAGTTGTCTAGCACATAGGGGGATTCCATAAATGCTTATTGAATGAATGAATACCATCATCCTTTCAAACATACAAGCATACAGTCAATATGGCTTTTATTCATTTTATTCATTTCCTTATCTACAGATTCTAATCATGCTGAAATTGTCACTTAAAGTTTGACTAGTTAAACTATTTGGTTATCAGTAGGTCTTAATGTAAGTATTTGCTGATAACAAGTCATTTGAAAGGGAAAAATCACATTTTTTTGTTTCTAGGGAGCAAATCAAAGACTTTTGGCTTGCTTTCAGCTTTCTGAAAAGTTTCTTCATATGGCTTGTCTAAATTATTGGTGCCACAACGTAAGTAGTGTGGCTATTCAAGCACGGTAATCTTGTGGTGTCAAAGAAGTTTTCTAAATGAAATGGTAACTAATATTACTATATATTCTAATAAATTAACTTAGAAAGATAGTGAACATTGTTTGGACATTTGAGATAAATTCTTCTATTTGAGAGAAATAAATGAACATATACTATACATTGATAAAGGCATATTGTTTAAATAATTGATTGTTAAAATATTTTAAAGTAATTTTAATGATATTTTGGATTTTTTTTTCTAAAGCATATGGACATGATTAAGTGAATAAACAGAGAATATAATTCAGCATGCCACTGTGGTGGAATTACAGAATATTTCAGCTTCCAAAAGGCTTCTATAGTTGGAATTCCAGGGAAATTAAATGATTTGGACAAGGTAACAGTGCTAGTTGATGAGCAAAATGACACCAGAAGCCAAACTTTCTTATTTGTTACCCACTGTCCTTTCCCTTTGATGTGGTTGATGGGCAGCATGAACCGGATGCAGACTAGTCTGACTGTGGGGTCACAGTGTTGTGGGGGTAGAGAGGCCCTCAACTCATAGAAGCCATGATTGTCAGAGGAGGGAAATTAAGACCCTGAGAGATTGACTGATTTCCTCCAAGTCCTAGACAATTTATTTGTAAAGCAAAAAACAGAATCCAGTTCCCCTTTTCCCATTTGTCATTCTTCTTCATTGAAAAATCAATCTGGTCAGTAAACATTTATTGGGTAACTACTATATGTCCAGCACTGTGCTGGGTAATTCGAGAATACCCAACCCATATTTTAGTACAGAGTATGGTTTATTTCTTCACAGAGTTTCAGTATTATTAAGCATCCTGAATATAAAATGATTGTGTGATATTTTACATGAAAGTCAAGTAATTATATTATATCCTTTGAGAGTTCACTCAGGCTAGCTCTTTGCCTCCAAGCAGCATGGTGTCTAAACCAGCTAGTTGTTTACCCTAGTATTAGAGATCTCCAAGGGAGGACATCTTTTAATAACTCTTGTGATCAGGAAAGCGTTCCTTATATGTCACCTATATTGCTCCCGTTTAAGCCTGTGTGTTTTATTTTCTTCTTAGTTCAGAGACACTTAAATAATCAGTAATTCTCCACACACTTACAGCACACTAATGTGTAGTTGTTCAACTTAGTAAAAACATTTATTGTGCCAAATATAGTCTGTTGGCACTTGAAGAATAAAATATGATATATGTATACACATACACATGCATATTTATTTTGAGTTTATTAAGAAAACTTGAAATCATTATGAAGAATTTTTCTACTTCTGCATGTTGCTTCTCTTAATAGTCACTTATAAAGGAACTCTGTACCTCTTTCTATTGGTGTTGTGGAGCATGCAAAGTAACAGCAGTTCCCTGGCCTCAAAGAGCTAGCCAAATACTGGAGTAGTTAACTATTGGAATTGCCAACCATTGAAATTTATACAGATGAAGAATAATTTGAAAAAAATCCAATATAGTCTATCTACATATACTAAAGATTGTCCATTTTGAATTTATAGAAACACATTTACAATACAGAATAACTACATTTAAAAGGTTTGAACCACTTAAAATGTGGGGGATTTATCTACTTGATTCATAATTGTATTCAGAGTTTTTTTTCTTATTATTCACCAAGCACGTATCAGACCCTTACACTGTGCTCCATGTCAAACAAAGAGCACAAATTTTCGGTTCAAATATTGACTCTAACATTTACTAGCTGTGAGACTTAGAGCAAGTTATTTAGTATCTATGGGCTTTCCCTTCATCTATAAAACCAGAGTAATAATACTTAGCCTTATATAGGTTGAAAGATCAAATAAGATGTAGTTTGAAAGCATCTTGATGGTAGGAAAACCTTCTTTCCCCTGTTTCGTGCTCACCTAAAGAGGGATTGTTTATTAGTAACATTCTTGACCTCTGTCTGCACCCCACATCTCCCACTCCCTTCTTACCAAGAGAAGAGGTGTGAAAATACCTCACTGGTGAGTTTGGGGAAATAAATTGGTCTGTTGGGTTTAGCTCACATTCATATTTTCTCTTTGGGGCTTGCAAATGCCTGCAAAAAGTGACCATTCTGGTCTGCTTCTCTGCTTAAATGGAAGTTTCACCATGCCAGGACCCCACATGAAGAAGACAGGTTTTCCATCTACACCTGGGACCAAGTGGGAGAGTTTGTCTAATTCTGCATGCATTTTTGGGAAGCCCATTGTTGCTGCACCCTTAAATTCTCTTATCCAGTTTCAATTTTAACAAAAATAAAATGGATATTTTGTCTCCATATGCCTATTTTGAATTAGATCTCAATTAATTCAAAATTCAGGCAGGCAACATGAATTTGTTATTGTATCCCCTCAAAATAGTAGCACTTTATATTTGCCTAATGCTTAGGAAATTTTATTTCTCTCCAGTTTTTTTTTAATTTCCTCCTATGCTATTTGTTGTTGAAGATTTAAAAAAATGTACAATATTATCTTTTTCTCTCCCAGGAGCTTCCAGTTCAATAAAGGAGATTAGATGGATACACAAACAGCTATAGTGTAAGATAGCAGGAGTAAATATAAGGCAGGCACAAGTGCTATGAGAATTAAGAGGAGAAAAAGATAACCCACTGTTGAATCAAAATGGGCTGCAAGGAACTGGGACAGACACTAATCACTTAGCCCTGGGACTGAACAACCAACCTTCCATTTCTTTAATTTCCTTAATAAATTCCCTAGTGGAGTTCTGCCCAATATGACTTGTCCTGCTGTCTCTTGTGTCTCTTGATTGACACTGGACGGCATCCGGGATTTTAACAACAAAGCTGCTACTGCTGTTCCCAAGACATTCCTTACAGAAATTTCTGAGAGTATTCTTAGATATATGTGTCTTTTAGACTAGAGTGAAAACACATATAATTCAAATCTGAAACTCTGTTATGAAAATGGAAATCAACTTTATTTATAGTTAAGCCAGTCTTTTAAATAAAGTCCATCATTTCTCCCCCAATAATCCTGAGTAATTCCTTCAATACCTCAGCTTTCAGCTAACACTTAACTGTAGTCAACAGAGTATCTACAAGTGAGAGGAGCTGGAAGAGACTATAGCTCATACAGATTCCCCAAGGTGAGCTGGCTCACTTAGCAGATTTCATTAGGGATGTGCAGATTTATGGCAGTTATGGCTTCTACAGGTAGTGCCAAAAGAGGCAGACAAGAAAAAAAAAAGACGTCTTAGAGGTCTGTGGCTGACAAGCAAGACATCAAAAGGCTTCTTATTGCCTCAGCAGCCCATGCCACTCTTACTACAAAAACAATGAAGCAGAAGCAGCCAATCAGGGCAAATGGCTGTGTGAAGCTGTCTGAATGTGGTGAGCAGCAAGATACCTCCTTACCAAAATTTGGCTCATGGTCCTTAAATTTTACTGTAAATTGGGAAGCATAAAATATTTTATATTCTGAAGAATAAAACTTTTAGTTTCATTCACAATTATTTTTTAGTTTTTCTGTTTAGTAGTCTTAAAAATGAGCTGATATTTTTAAAAGACTGTATTATTATATTTACTTCCCAGAAATATTTTCCAACTGATGCATCCTGGCTTGAATTCTTCAGATGTGTGTTTACCTTGTAGGTATTTTTTGTATTATGAAATCATACCTACCAAAAGATCAGTGTGATCCTGTATTCTAAAGCATGATCCTTTTAGACTTCTGAAATGTAGAGGGTTGGTTCCTGCCCTTACAAGATCCATATTCCTTTCTATTACTATCATAAAAGTAGTTACGGATGACTGACTTTTTAATTTTCTTGCTATAAGAAATTCCTTCATCAATTTTTAAATAATGGAGACTTATTTTTCTTGCAATAAGGACTTATTAAGGGAGCCTATGAATACATATGTGTGATTTTTAATCAGGAAATAAGTCAGTTAAAGTTGATTTGTTATTTTGCTGCTATTGACTTTCATGTGTTTGTATTTTTAGTGGCCTTCTGATGACCAGTCATCCTCAGCATATGATATCATAGAAAGAAATGAAGGTACTCATTTCTGAAAAAAACTATATACTGTAGTTCATAAATTCAAGTTAATTTTCTGTTTTTATTATTAATTCCAATTCTGAGTTTGTCAACAGGCCAGGTCTGTACTTCCTTGAATTTAATTTAGATCATAATAAAAGGATAGCACTCATTTTATTTGTCCCAATGGATGCATGTGATGCGTGTATTCCACATGTATTACTGGTAAACCCAACCTTCTGAGAGTATGCATATTTATTTGTATTTTTACTTTATATCTTCTCTATGAGTATCTCATTGGTAAGAGCATATTCCTAAGAATAGTAATATTGTAAACATACAGAATTCTTTATGCTATTACAAATACAAATGTCTTATATTTCACATTTCCTATAAATAGGAAAGATATATGAAAAGAATCTGGAGAACTTTTCTAAAAAGTGTTGTTCTCATTTTAATAAGGAAGATAGCAGGTCTCTAACATTGTATGAAATCACAGGCTTTTGTGATTATCAAAATACACAGAGTGATTATAAATTAATTATTGTCATTCAAATATGATTTTTTAAGTCTATCTTGCAGAATGAGAAAGGCAGTTAATGTTGTATAAAGCCATTTGAAAATACTCAAGTAATAGACCACCTGAAGGGAACTGCATACTGTAGGAGGTCATTGCTGGCTAGGAACACACATAGGAAGGGAACAGGTGTTAGCTTTGGTTGGTCTCAGACTGGCACTGGGTCCTAGTGACTCCCAGTTCAGGGTTGGGATAGAGAAGAGCAGAACTAAGATACCCTAGGTTTCTCTGTCTGTGTGGGCATGAGAGGTCGGGGAGAAGGGCAGGAGAGAGGAGAGACAAGAATAATCATGTAAAGGAATGCATTTTATACATATATACTTTATGCCGTATCAAACACATGTTTCTAAGTTATAAAGTTCTGTAGTTCTGACAAGCTTACTGAAGTGGGACACTTCAAATCTTATAGCGGTCTCAGCAATAGCATAAACCATCCAGATGAGATGTGCAAACAAAATGTCTTTTCTCTGCTTGATGTATATTTAATAATTTTTTAGCATGACTAAGATGACCCCTGTGGTAATCCATCAAAAAATGTAGACAAGAATAAGAAAAAAGTTGTTTATAAATTGCTTTTCATTGGTGAGAAAATAAGTTGATTTAAAATCATCTGTTGTATAATTTTGAACAAGTGAACTGGAAGCTTCTGTATTTAAATCATTTATCTATTTATTTTTGTATTTATTTTAAAATATATTTATATCTATATTTATTTTTCTGTATTCAAATCTTTTGTAATTAAATTTTCTGTATAAATATATAACATATTTATATTTATTTTTAAATATATTTATTTTATATTTATTTTTCTGTATTTAAATCACTGGTCTATTTACTTTTATATCACTTCTTTTATTTTAAATAATCATCACATTTTGGTGGCCTGACTGAGCTTTGGAAAACAAATTAAAACTGCAGCTAGGAAAATTAGGTTAATTATAATTCATTCGATGCTGTCTTTATTAAAAGTGAATTGATTTAATCCCTGTAAAAAACCCTAAGGCATGAGAAAGCAAAATAGCTGTGTAAAAGCTTAGTGTACTCAACAATTAGAAGATACTACAGTTCAGTACTTAATGTGCATATGAATCACCTTAGATCTTGTTAAAATGCAGATTCTGATTCAGCAGGTGTGGGATCAGCCTAAGAATCTGCATTTCTACCAGGCTCCTGGGATTTGAGATGATGCTGATCCAGTGACCACACTGGGTAAAAAGGCTTTTGTCAGCTCATTCTCTCAATGTGTCAGATAATAATTAAGCATTTGCTAATTATAATACAGCCATAGAGAAGGGATACAAAATGCTGTGAAATGTGGTGCCTGCAATTCTGAAACATTTTAAGAAACCAGTTTGTTGAGATAAAATTCACAGCCCATACATTTCATCCATTTAAATTGTAAAATTCAGAAGTTTTCAGTATATTAACAAATATATGCAATCATTATTACAGTAGATTTTAGAACATTTTTATCATGTCAAAAAGAATCCCTATACATTTTAGGATCACTTCCCTCCACTCCCATCACTCCCATAACCCTAAGCAACCACAAATGTACTCTTTGTCTCTATAGATTTCTCTATACTTTTATATAAATGGAATTATATGATATGCAATGTTTTGTGACCGGCTTCTTTCAATTAGCATAGTGTTTTTAAGGTTCATCCATGTTGTATCAGTACTTCATTCCTTTTCATGGACAAATAATATTTCATTGTGTAGACATACCACTTTCTGTTTATCCATTTGTCAGTTGATGGACATTTGGGTTGTCTCCACCTTTTGGCTATTACGGCTAATGCTACTACAAACATTCATCTGCAAGTTTTGTGTGTAGATAAGTTTTATTTCTCTTGGGTGTATACCTAAGAGTTGAATTGCTGGATTATATGGTAACCATACATTTAATTCTTCTGAAGCTTTTAATTTAGATAAATAGAAAGATTTTAATACATAAATGTTCATATGTGTGTGCATATAAACACACTGTATCAAACAATTGGCTTCATGAAAAAGGGTCCATGGTCAAATAATTTTGGAGAGTACTACATGCTAAAGCTCTCTTAAATCAGGCAAAAGGGGAGCCATTTCACTTTGTTTAACACAAGTTTCCAAACATGTTTTTCAAACATGTTTGGAAATATTTTTTTTATTATTATTATACTTTAAGTTTTAGGGTACATGTGCACAATGTGCAGGTTAGTTACATATGTATACATGTGCCATGCTGGTGTGCTGCACCCATTAACGCATCATTTAGCATTAGGTATATCTCCTAGAGCTATCCCTCCCCCCTTCCCCCACCCCACAACAGTCCCCAGAGTGTGATGTTCCCCTTCCTGTGTCCATGTGTTCTCATTGTTCAATTCCCACCTATGAGTGAGAATATGCGGTGTTTGGTTTTTTTGTTCTTGTGATAGTTTACTGAGAATGATGATTTCCAATTTCATCCATGTCCCTACAAAGGACATGAACTCATCATTTTTTATGGCTGCATAGTATTCCATGGTGTATATGTGCCACATTTTCTTAATCCAGTCTATCATTTTTGGACATTTGGGTTGGTTCCAAGTCTTTGCTATTGTGAATAGTGCCACAATAAACATACGTATGCATGTGTCTTTATAGCAGCATGATTTATAGTCCTTTGGGTATATACCCAGTAATGGGATGGCTGAGTCAAATGGTATTTCTAGTTCTAGATCCCTGAGGAATCGCCACACTGACTTCCACAAGGGTTGAACTAGTTTACAGTCCCACCAACAGTGTAAAAGTGTTCCTATTTCTCCACATCCTCTCCAGCACCTGTTGTTTCCTGACTTTTTAATGATTGCCATTCTAAGTGGTGTGAGATGGTATCTCATTGTGGTTTTGATTTGCATTTCTCTGATGGCCATTGATGGTGAGCATTTTTTCATGTGTTTTTTGGCTGCATAAATGTCTTCTTTTGAGAAGTGTCTGTTCATGTCCTTCGCCCACTTTTTGATGGGGTTGTTTGTTTTTTTCTTGTAAATTTGTTTGAGTTCATTGTAGATTCTGGATATTAGCCCTTTGTCAGACAATACAGGGATGCCCTCTCTCACCACTCCTATTCAACATAGTGTTGGAAGTTCTGGCTAGGGCAATTAGGCAGAAGGAAATAAAGGGTATTCAATTAGGAAAAGAAGAAGTCAAATTGTCCCTGTTTGCAGATGACATGATTGTATATCTAGAAAACTCCATTGTCTCAGCCCAAAATCTCCTTAAGCTGATAAGCAACTTCAGCAAAGTCTCAGGATAGAAAATCAATGTACAAAAATCACAAGCATTTTTATACACCAATAACAGACAAACAGAGAGCCAAATCATGAGTGAACTCCCATTCACAATTGCTTCAAAGAGCATAAAATACCTAGGAATCCAACTTACAAGGGACGTGAAGGACCTCTTCAAGGAGAACTACAAACCACTGCTCAATGAAATAAAAGAGTTTACAAAGAAATGGATGAACATTCCATGTTCATGGATAGGAAGAATCAATATTGTGAAAATGGCCCTACTGCCCAAGGTAATTTATAGATTCAATGCCATCCCCATCAAGCTACCAATGCCTTTCTTCACAGAATTGGAAAAAACTACTTTAAAGTTCATATGGAACCAAAAAAGAGCCCACATCACCAAGTCAATCCTAAGCCAAAAGAACAAAGCTGGAGGCATCACACTACCTGACTTTAAACTATACTACAAGCTTACAGTAACCAAAACAGCATGGTACTGGTACCAAAACAGAGATATGGATCAATGGAACAGAACAGAGCCCTCAGAAATAATGCCACGTATCTACAACTATCTGATCTTTGACAAACCTGAGAAAAACAAGCAATGGGGAAAGGATTCCCTATTTAATAAATGGTGCTGGGAAAACTGGCTAGCCATATGTAGAAAGCTGAAACTGGATCCCTTCCTTACACTTTATACAAAAATTAATTCAAGATGGATTAAGGACTTAAACATTAGACCTAAAACCATAAAAACCCTAGAAGAAAACCTAGGCACTACCATTCAGGACATAGACATGGGCAAGGACTTCATGTCTAAAACACCAAAAGCAATGGCAACAAAAGCCAAAATTGACAAATGGGATCTAATTAAACTACAGAACTTCTGCACAGCAAAAGAAACTACCATCAGAGTGAACAGGCAACCTACAAAATGGGAGAAAATTTTCGCAACCTACTCATCTGGAAATTTTTTAAAAGCAAAATGTTTAAAATTCAAGGATTTAGTAGAGAGCATTTTGAGAAATGGCTTAATTGCATATTCTGGAAATAGAAAACTTATTGGATAGGGCAGAGAGTATATTCAGGGAACTAGTGGATGATTTATTGGGGCTAGACAGAGGACAGTTTCAACTCAATAGGTAAATCCCCTAGGTAAGTGGATAGGAATGTGGTTTCTGATGGAGGACATCTGAGTAGAGGAATAATAGGGTGGAAATGTGATTTCTGAAAGTTGTTCTGGGCATGAGTCATAGGATGTTATAGAAAGACAAAAAGACATGGAAATGACAGGGATACCATTTATGGGCCAGTGAAATTGCCTAGCTATTAATATCCATAAGTTGTATAAAGAGGGAAGAATCAGTTAATTCTGATGACACAATGGACCCAAGGGAAAGGGGACATATCAAAGTCTCTTTAAGTAAGATGATGATGAATAATAAATCTATTATCGATAGCAGAAATGCCAAATGCAGTATGTAGAATAAGTGCATCTTTAAAAGCACTAAACAGAAATATCACATTCCAACCAGATATATCTTATGAAATTTCCTGACATTATAGAAAAATGATTATATAAAAATGACGAAGACCTATTTATTCATCCTTTTTTATTTGAAAATTAGTACTTGATTTCTGTATGTGCCCTGCCATAGGTTTTGATGTTGCCATCTGGCAGAATCTGCTTATTATCTTCATTATGAACCTAGACTTTCTTTTTATGCTGGTGTCTATTTCCCATTAAATCAAAAGTTATGTCAATTTCAAATTAATGAGAAGTAAGTATAAAGATGGAAACTTCCCCTCAATATTACTATTTTTATGCTTTTGGAGCATAATATTTAGCACTGCTCAAATCTGGTTGTAAATAATTTCTTTCATTGATGAGATGAACTGTCTTTACTTTTTCTCCTGTTACTATATTTACTGTTTCCCTTTTGTTTGATGTCATTGGAAAATGAAATTGCCAGATGGTTTGCAAAGAGAAGTGAGCAACAACTCTTTTTTTAAAAAAAAGTTTCTTTATATACAAATAAGTAAGCAAGCAAACAAAAAAGTATGTTTGCTTAAAAAAAAGAAAGAAAAAAATTTTGCTTAAAAGATACACAGAGACACACTCAGAATCTCAGAGTGTTAATTAGATGCTCCTGTTTATATCAGGATGAATATGCCATATATGGGTAATAGTTCCTAAATTAGGTAAAAATGGGGATCTTGAGGAGCCACACATTGTCAGCATAACACACAGCATGAAGACAGCCCCCTGGCCAGCCTTTTTCTTTCAGTTATAGCTATTCAAGTCTTCATTTTTACAAGTAGTACTCTCTGATATCAAAACAGATTCACTCTTTTTGTCCGCATGACTTTAGGCAGTATGAAGATCACTAACGTAGGCATTATGAAACCTTAGTGATTTCAGATTCACCACCAAGTCTATAACCCAGAATATATCTCTTCACTTCTCTGGGCCTTAATTTGCCCATCTATAAAATGAGACATTAGGAATGGAACATCTTCAAAGTCTCTTTCAGGTTGTAAATGCCGTAATTCACAAGCGTAAATCTACAAATTTAAGTGTAATTCGAAAGCTGGAATTCTGTGCAAGAGGCCAGGAAAAGATTTTTAGAGGTTATAATGACCACATAAAAACTACTTTTCTGAACCTTATAGCTAACACAGAGAACCTATGGTATCTAGTAAGATATGAGATTATATCACATTAGAGGCTAGAAGAGAGCAAAGCAAAAGCAGCAATTAAATTTTATCACACATTACAGCAGCCGTGGATTCTACTTGGCCTTTTATGCACAGCTTTAAGGTAACCTTGTTTTCCATTTGGCTTTCTTTGTTTCTGTGTCTCTCCCAAAAACATTTCTTAGATTTCCCCAGTTCTATCCCAGTGTTAGACACCTACCTTGTATTCAATATATTCATGTTGACCTTATTGTCATCAATTATCCACATCAGTAGTCAGTTTAGAGGAGATTTTAGACAAGAAAATAAAACATTATATGTTTTCTCAAATAATTATTTGACTTCCTCATTTTTCAATTGAGAGGAATAGCTGCAGTCTCAAATACTTCTGCAAAAAATATATTCACATATTAATTTAAAGTGCTAGTTACAGGCTGGGCATGGTGCCTCACGCTTGTAATCCCAACACTTTGGAGGCTGAGGTGGGTGGATCACCTGATCAGGAGTTCGAGGCCAGCCTGACCAACATGGTGAAACCCCATCTCTACTAAAAATACAAAAAAAAAAAAAAAAAAAAAAGAAAGAAAATTAGCTGGGCATGGTGGTGGGTGCCTGTAATCCCAGCTACTTAGGGAGGCAGGAAAATCGCTTGAACCGGGAGGCAGAGGTTGCAGTGAGCCGAGATCACGCCATTGCACTCCAGCCTGGGCAACAAGAGTGAAACTCTGTCTCAAAAATAAATAAATAAATAAATAAATAAATAAATAAATAAATAAATAATAAAGTGCAAGTTAGGTTCTTTTTTGCCCAATAAAATGGTTTACATTTGCTGTGCTGGTTCTCAGAAAATAAATTTTAAATGATAAAAATTTACATGATTTTGTGTGATATATGATATTTATTTTAACAGAACTGCTTATACAAATTTTATCCTTGGATTTCTATATATACTTCACACACTCTGATAATTAAGTTCGTAGTTATCATAGATTATTAAGCTTATCAGAACAGAGATGTAGCAATTATAGTTTTAAGGGATTGGTGCTTTTTAAAATGTTGTTCTTCATAGGTCTTTTCTAATGTGTATGTGATACTGGCCTAAGTGAGAGAGCCAGTAGGCCAAGCTCAAGAATTTGGAGAAAGAAAGAAAATTAGATGTCTTTTAAAATTCAACACAAAATCAAGTGGAGAAAAATCAGGAGAATTAATTCTGTTCTCAGAGAGGCTTAAAGAGCCTGACTATAATCTGATGGTATTCATAGAGCTTAAGAAGGATCCTGGCAATCAAGTGTGGTCAGATACAGAGATGTACAAAGAGAAAAAACCACCCAGGAATGCCCAGGAAAGATGAAGCCTTAACCAACAGACTTTGAGAATCCCTGTCCTATGTGCAAATGAATATGTTAGGCTACTTTATCCCATTAAACAGCAAGTTTCATCTCATTGATTCCATTTGTTAGATCTCTGTGATAGCTTATATTATAGTTCCTGCATCAGTCTGGGTCCAATCAGGAGAGAAAGAACTGCACAGTAATTTGAACATGGGAAGTTTAATATAAAGAATTAACTATAACAGGAGGTTGGAGTAATAAGGAACTGGCCTATAAGAAATAAAGAGAATGCTAAAAAATACAGGATTTCAACTACTACCTTCTAGGGGTGAACTGATTCCATTTCACCCAAAGAAGAGACTCCCCCAGGGCTGAGATCCAGACCTAGTTAGAAAGGTTGCAACCACGGTTCACTGAATGGCAGAGAGGTCACTGTGTTGCCACACCAGCAGGACTTGAAAATCGGGCTTCTTGAACTTGCCAGAAATCTACAGTCTAGGAGGTGGGAGAAAACTGTTCAAGGTAAATTATCTTTTGCCCAAGGGGAGAGTCGGGAAGTTGCTGGTCATTGGATGCTGCTGGCCACCCGTGACTGCACAAGTCAGGTGCTAAAGAAACTACATGTGCTGCAGGAGCCCAGCACCAGAGAAGCTGCCGCGTTGTAGAAGATGGGTTTGAAGAAGCTATGTGCAAAGTAGCAACCTAGCTGTAAACCCTAGAAGCCACCACACTGCCGGCGAATAGTGCTGGAGAAAGGGCCTTCCAAAGGCTGGAGAAGGCATTTCAAAGGCTAGGTGCTGGGAAAGTTGGACACATTGAGAAAACCAGTTGCTGGAGAAGATACCTGAACTATGGGAGCCAGACACTGAAAAGGCTACACAGGCTCCAAGAGCCGGACTAGAGAAGTCGTCTGCTTTAGGGGAGCCAGGAACAAGAGAAGCTGCATCAGGAGCCTGTCTAGAAAAGTACACTGGAGCCAGGAAGGATGATGCTTACTCTACAATGTCTTTCCGTTGTCCTTTACTGGCAAGTTTTAACATAGTGCCTGCTGACAAAGGGAAATTAAAGGGCCCAGATCCATTTTCACAGTGAAGGCAAAAATAATGAACTTGGAGATAGGAGGCAATTAATCAACAATAAGCACAGTTCCCAGCTATGCTTCCTGTGCTCCATAAGAGACGTATAAAAATGTGTCCTTCATCCCTTATAAATACATGTAGATTTGAGTACTCCCCTGAAGGCAAAGGTATTTCTCCCATCCATTGGTTGACTTGGGCTTATGACTTGGTTGGGTCAATAGCATAGCAATTAATGTGATATAGCACCAGTTCTGAGCAGATGTTTTAAACGTGAGTCCATAGGTTAGCATGAACTCTTCCATCTTTGCCCTGTGCCATAAAGAAAGCAAGTCCCAGACAGAGTCTACTCTTTTATCTGGGTCCTAGAATGATGTACAGAGCTGAGTAGAGCGACAGCCAACCTGAGACCTCTAAGCAAGGAAGATATTGGTGGTTGTATGCCCCTTAGCCTTTGGGTTGTTATTACAACAAAAGCCAACTAATGCAGTTTCTATGCTTGACAACCAACTTTCCGATTTCTGTTTGGCTAATCATGATAATGCAGCATTAAGACCTATAAACCATTAGGTCATTTTCTGATTTTACTTATTCGTCTGCAGCAAGGAGATAAAATGAAGTGACAAGGCCCCCTTAGATTGAAGAGAATTCATCATAGTCATTTCATCCTGAGAGAAGTCTTCAGTGGCAGCTAGCCAGAACTTCCCAGATGACATCTCAGACTTGCCTGAGTATAAATCATTGGGTGGAAGATTAGAGATGGAAAAGTTATTGTCAATAGTTTCTTTAAGGTATAGGGCCTCTCTACATGGCTGTTGTTCTTCTCTTTGCCGGTTTTCATGATTTGCTGCAAAGATTATAATTTATTTCATTTTATCTGGTCTTTATCAAATGTCCCCTAATCATTTGGGACACTGGGTTGTTGTCTAAAGTTTATCTTTAGAAACTGCTGTTCTTGATGAGACTTGGTAGACTTCTACACAACTTTCTGTGGAAGAAAATTGTTTTTGATAATAGTGTTATATAAATTCTTCTTCAGCGGTCACTATAGTCTAACAACACATAGTTCATATTAACATAGGCTTTCTTTTCACTCATTGATTTATTAGGAGAAAATAATTTTCTAACTCACTATTATAATATTCATTATAACTATAATTGGTATTATAATTATTATTATATTTGGTAATCTTGGAGCATCCCCAACTGGCCACACACACATATACACATAAAGAAGTCTGAGGCTAGATATTTCAGCCTTTATTGAGCTGAAAAATCATACTGCTGTTCAAAAAGATTTTTTTCAATTAAAATCAAAAGTAAGAATTTACTTCCTATGATCACTAAATAATTAAAAGCATAGGTCAAATATTAGCATGTATATAAGATATACGTTTAAGAAAAGAAACAGTGCTAATACTTTGAGTGCTAGGACTATTACTTCCTGTAGATATTCAAAAATATTGACTAGAGTTTTTAAACCCTCCTTCTGCAGTAATGATCAGTCCTGGAACTAATTTAATTTGGGCACGTGCATGAAAAGAAACATGAGGAGATAGAAAATAGCCACAGAATCTAGTCCAGTCTCTGCTACTGTACATGGAGAATCTTAGTTTTCTCATCTCTAAAAAGGGAATAATCACATATGCCCAAACAAACTTAAGGATTTTTTTTTTTTTTTTTTTTTTTTTGAGACAGAGTCTTGCTCTGTCACCCAGGCTGGAGTGCAGTGGTGCGATCTCAGCTCACTGCAAGCTCTGCCTCCCAGGTTCATGCCATTCTCCTGCCTCAGCCTCCCTAGTTGCTGGGACTACAGGCGCCTGCCATGAAGCCTGGCTAATTTTTTGTATTTTTAGTAGAGACAGGGTTTCACTGTGTTAGCCAGGATTGTCTCGATCTCCTGACCTCGTGATCTGCCTCCCAAAGTGCAGGGATTACAGGCGTGAGATGGGATTTTTTTGAGAATAAACTGAGTGTCACGGTGAAAAGGAGATGTCAATAGCAAAGGTCTTTGCAAATGTGAAATTTTTTGATGCCCTGAAATAATTGGTTGATGGTATGTTAATGTCTTCCTAAATGCCATTGAACCTGGAACCTAGCCAAGGGAATAATCAGAGGAGTGATCTTCAAAATATATCTTACTACAGAAAAAGCAGAAGATATTAGGACAGATCTTGAAGTTTAGGGTGGGTAGAAATGTAATTTCTCCTTCTGAAGTCATTAATAACCTGATTGTAACTTCGACTATCAGAACGTATGATATTCCCCAACTCCTATTTAAAAAAAAGGAATGTGATCACACAGTAGAGAAATTTACTATGGGAAAGCTCCTTAACAACCACGTGGTATTATCATTTAAAAGTGGAAGGGATAGAATGATGGGAGAGACGCTTAATGGCAGGTTGGAGGTGGGGAGACAGGGATGGAGGGAATATAACCAGCTCACAACCATCTTCTCTCTGAACTTTTCTGGACTTTTTTTTCTCTAGTGTATAGTGAAAGTTTAATCCTTTTGTTTCCCTGTGATCCCAGAACTCTTTGAACAAACTTACTATTAGAACTTCAGATGGTGTATTACATTTATCTGTTAAATTGTCTTTCTCATCAGACTATAGATGTCTTGAAGGTGAGGATCATTCCTTAATTGTGTAGTAGCCCAGACTGCTGCCTTGCACAAGACCTGGCATGTAGTAGATTTATACTGAGTGGTATGTGAAAGGATGAATGGGCACAAAATAGATCAGAGTAAAGCCATTGGAAGAGATGGGATTTGGTAAGGTTTTAATCAAGTATTTCACTTCTTAAATACTAAGGAAGTATTCTCAGAATTCAGCACAATACAAATTTTATATTAAATTTTAATTTAAAAATTAGTCTGTAGACATGATTGAAATATTCTCTCAGGAGACTCCTGGAAAACATGATTAACTTCCCTTTCCTTTCTTTTTCTTTTTCTTTTTTTTTTTTTTTTTTTTTTTTTTTTTTTTTTGACGTTGTCTTACTCTGCACCCAGGTTGAAGGGCAGTGGCACGATCTTGGCTCACTGCAGCCTTCGCCTCCCAGGCTCAAGGGATCCTCCCACCTCAGCCTCCAGAGTAGCTGGGACCACAGGTGCCTGCCACTACGCCTGGCTAATTGTTTGTATTTTTGGTAGAGATGGGTTTTTCACATGTTGCCCAGTCTGGTCCAAATTCCTGAGCTCAAGCAATCCACCTGCCTCTGCCTCCTGAAGTGCTAGGATTACAGGCGTGAGCCACCATGCCCAGCAAGCATAATTAATTTCTAATGTCTGAGTTCCTAAGTTTAAGTTTATGCATTCTTAAAAATAGACCTAAAACAACTATGATATTCTGCTTCAGAAGATAATAGTAGCTTTCCTTGCTACCCAGAGAGGGGCCCATACCGCATTGTTCTGGATTCCCATTGTAATTAAAGGGAAACTTTCACCATGTCCAGAGTCTTTAATGTCCTGCAAATGAAGAAGGATGTCCTCAAATTCCTTGCAGCAGAAACCCACTTAGATGGCACCAACCTGACTTTCAAATGCAACAGTACATTTCCAAAAAGAAAAGCGATGGCATCTATACCATAAATCTGAAGAAGACCTGGGAGAAGCTTCTGCTGGCAGCTCGTGCCATTGTTGCCATTAACAACAGATATCAGTGTCATGTCCTCAGGGAATACTGGCCAGTGGGCTGTGGAGAAGTTTGCTGCTGCCACTGGAGCCACTCCTGTTGCTGATGGCTCTATTTCTGGAACCTTTACTATCCAAATCCAGGCAGCCTTCTGGGAGCCATGTCTTCTGGTGCTTACTGATCCCAGAGCTGACCACCAGCCCCTCACAGAAGCATGTTATGTTAACATACCTACCATTGCTCTGTGTAACACAGATTCTTCTCTGCACTGTGTGGACATTGCCATCCAAGCAACAACAAGGGAACTCATTGAGTGGGTCTGATATGGTGGGTGCTGGCCTGGAAGTTCTGTGCATGTGTGGCACCGTCTCCTGTGAACACCCATGGAAGGTCATGTCTGATTTCTACTTCTGCAAAGACCCTTAAAAGGAAGGGCAGTCTGCTTCTGAGAAAGCTGTAACCAAGGAGGAATTTCAGGGTGAAAGGACTGCTCCAGCTCCTGAGTTTACTGCTCCTCAACCTGAGGTTGCAGTCTGGTTTGAAGGCATGCAGATGCCTTCTGTGCCTATTCAGCAGTTCCCTATTGAAGACCATAACACAGCCTACCATGGAAAATTGGTCTGCAGCTGCCACTGCTTAGGCCACTGAATGGGTAGAAACAACCACTGAATGTCTTAAGCCATTTTTCTACAGACTTTTAAACAAGATGGAAATCAGGTTGATGAAAAATAAACATCAGTTCCTAAAACTAAACAAAACAATAATTGTTTTTGAAAAAGGAATGTATTTTTAGGTGGGAATGGGATGGGGGAGTAAGTGTTATGAAAGTCAGAAGCATATGCCTGGCACATAAACCTAAAAGCATAGGAATCTTTGTCATAACATACAGGATATTGCAATTATTTTGTTAAAAAACCCAGAAAGTTAAGAAAATTGAACATATTCTAAATTACAATGGCATTAACTTCTTTTTTTTCTTAAGATATCTTAAAGAAGGTGTGGAACTCGCAGACATTTTCTGGTAGTTTTGAGCGGACTAATCTATTATAACTATTATGTATATAATATTTATATTATATAAAATATAAATATTATATATTTATAATTATATAACTATAACCTACTATAACTATTATATATAAATGGGTCATCTCGTTCCTAATACTGAGCATCAAAAATGTGTGTATGTAATCCTTGAATGCGCTTAAAGGAAATATCAGGAGGAATGCCACATCAGCCAGGTTGTATGGATTTGACTTTCTATGGAAAGTTTTGGCATGGTAAATCTTACTTTGTCCATTACCTTACCTGCTATGTGATATGAATTCTTTGCCTGCTAATCACAAATCTCAAGATCTGGGAAAATGGAGCTCCCTAGAACAGGCTATATATTTTTTATTGCCATCTCGAATCAAACTGATGCCGTTTTTCATGGGAGAACTAATAAAAGTCATATTCTGTATTGAAACATCCCTGTATTTTATGGACCCATCTGATATACCATTAATAAAGTTTTAAAACAATCTATAATAGATTTTGCAAGAACCGCAGATCTGCCAGCACTCTCATTAACAGCCCAATTTTAAGCACTACTTTAGGCATGATTATCTACAAAATGTTAGTGGGGCTGTTTAATATTAAAAGACTAGTAGCTGAAGAAAAAGGAAGCTCAATTACTCAAAAATCCAGTTAGATTGCTATTTCGAGTAATTTAACAAACAAAATTGCATTTTGTTCTGTTTTCAAAGTATGGGCTTGTATTCATTTCCTGGAATATGAAGTTCATTGAAAATGCCAGTGTTTCTAAGTGATTCTGTATGAGAGGAGTTGATAAAAATAAAAATACCCTTTGGCTTGTTAAAACACAAATGTTTTACGAATGACACCTTGCTCAATAGTGTTTCCTCGAATGACTATATTCTATAAAATAAAAAAGCCAGAGCCTCTGGCCTACATGATGTTCACAGAAAAGACAATGAGCAAAATCATCACCTGTGATTTTCTTAGATATGTAATTGTCTTTTTTCCATTGGCTTCTTTATCAGGGAGGATATCCTTTGTGCCTCAGACCTGTTTACAAAGGTATTTACTTACCTAGACTTTCATGCCTTAATAATAAATGTTAACAAATTTAAACATAAGGTAATAATCAAAAAGAATAAAATAGTTACTTATATACAGATGAAAAATTGTCTACACTATATTAACCCTTGCGTGTATGTGTGTGTTAGAACTGGTATTTTAAGGTATCTGGATAAATTCATAGGAAGTTATTAACAGTATTATAACCTCTGTGTCTGGGAAAATATGAGGGGGTCATTAAAAGGGGGAGACTTTTATTTTCAGTTGTTTCTTCTCTGCACTGTTTATACTTTTTTCTTACCTTGAACATGGGATACATTTATAATAAAAACAAAATATTTTCAAAATGGCACTATTGTGCTTTCTCAAATTTTAACATTATTTTACATCCAGTAAAACTATTCAAAGAGAAAAATTTGATAAAATATATACTTGTTAAATTTAAAACGTGCAAGAATGTTTTATTATTAGCTATGATGAAAGAAAACCAGGCTATGGTAATTAGACCACTAGCATTCATAGTAAATTTTTTTTAAATATACACAAAAAGACTTCACATACTTGCTACTAGTCATCCTTCTCTACTAAACATATTAGTGGAATACTAGTTAATATTCATTCTTTGTTATATAGCTTAAACATCTAACACCAGATTGGCAGTAAATTTGGCAACATTCTTAGTTTTTAGTTTACAATTTAAGTCATGATAGCCATTTTGGATCAAATATTAGTACTTAGAATTACAGAACTGAAATTAGCATCAATAATATATTCTTGTTCATTTTATTATACCAAATCACATGTCTGACTTCTAAATGTATTTGTTCATTATGATTTCTCTAAAATTATTTTAAGTTTCCAAAGACCATTAGGCCAGAGGTAGGTTAAAGTAAGAAACATATCATATTTGAAATTATCTCTCTGTCTCTTTCCATTCACTGTTCTCTTGTTTTATCCCTAATGATTATCTAATCCTTCATGAGAGAAGGGGGACAAAATGAGATAAAATAACATCCTGGGCTCATGGGTACAATTCAATAAGGGACAGGTTTCCCTGTAGTATTCTTGGAAGAATTACTTACTTACTCAGACAGCAATGAGCTACCTGGTCTCCTCACCAAGTAAAGTAATAATTACAGGACCTGTTTTTTGACTTTGATATATCTGTTTCCTTTTTTGGATATTACTCCCAGGCTGTTAATTGCAACTGTTATATTTCAAGCACTGGCTTATATGGTATCTCCATATGCCAAGTAGGACCTGGACTTTTCAAATTATGCTTTATGCACGGCTCACTCCTGCTTGTTATAGTGAAGATATCCTCTATGATTAAGCCTACAATGTCTTTTTAAAAAAATTGTTGCTCAGTTCATGCTAATTATAGTTTGCTATTTTAAATATAATGGAGTCAAAACGTTTCTTTTCAGACTAATGAGGCATCAGACAATTTGGGGATTTATCTCTATATATAGGTTGTTGTTCTTTTTCTAAAGCCAGAGAAAAGTAATTTAGAATCATTTAGGAGGATCTATCACCTGATTTATAATTTGGAACCACTTATTCCCAAGTATTGGTATTATTATTTCTTTTTAAGTAACTGAGGACATAACCCAACTTTTCTAGGCATACCCTGACTTAATGTGAGCTTTCTCTTTTTAATGAAGTCAATTTATTAAGGGTGTTACTAAGTATATATATATTTTTATAACATTTTTATATGAATACATTTATAAATAAAACATTGTTGATTAATGTTTCTCAAAATTTGGTTCAGGAAATATTCTTATTTTCTTTCTGGAAAGTAAATAATATGAAATATAATAATAATAAAATAATTTTAGAGATTTAATGGCATAAAATCCTGCTTTTTACGGTGAGGTTGGTGAGATGACAGGTTAAGCCTGCCTAGGTAGCTGCTTGGAGTTTCTTGGCCTGGCTAAAAATTGAAGTCTGTTCTTATCTTTGCTAAGGTTTGGAGAACTAGTTGGCAATTCCCTATTACAGTCAGATATTGCTAGAGGAAATTCTGGGTCTCATGGCTGGGTGGAACTTGAAGGACAGTTGCAATGATTCAAGTAGTATCCCTGTACACTTTTGCATAGGTGCACTTAGGCCAGGTGAGTACCAGGATCACCGAATAGAATAATTGTAATGATATAGGAGTTAAGAAGAAATGATTTAGGCAGATAGTGAAGGTAAGGAAGTCCTCAGTAAGGTTTTACTTTTAATAAAAAGCAGCCTCCAAATCATTTCTTTTATAACAAAAAGCAGTGTGTAAAATAAACCTGCAGACATAGACAAGCAAGCTTCTAGCTTGCTTGAATGCTGGCAGCTGTGCCAATAGGAAAGGCTAACTGGGACTAGGCATGTCCAACATGGTGGCGCCATTGTCCCCTTTCCTTGTCAACCACATGCACAGTAAGGAGCAGGCAACATGGCAGATGGCCAAGTAGAGATTTTATTTGCGTAATAAAAGATTAGGGTAGGGTGACCAGCTTCCTCGCATACTATGTAAACATCAAACCTGGTCCAACCAATCTTTGGGCCCTATGTAAATCTGACACGGCCTTCTCAAGCCTGTCTATAAAATCCTGTGCACTCTTCCTTGGGGCCGGAGGCCCCATTCAGGTGCACTTCTCTCTCCCAGGAGAGAAAGCTATTCTTTTTTTTTTTCTTTTGACTATTAAACCTCCGCTCCTAAACCCATTTCTCATGTGTCCATGTCCTTGATTCCCTTGGAGTGAGACAACAAACCTTGGGAATTTACCATAGACAAGGACACCGCTCCACTTAAACTGATTGCCTAAACTAGGACACTTTGGAGAATAAAGGGAGGAGAAGGGAGGTGCTTAAATAATTAAAATTTTATAGTTATAAATATTGTAACATAAAAAATTATTACATTCCATAAAACAAATATTTCTGATTTATCACTTAGGATAAATGAAAACATCAGTGCAGCAAGGACATTCATACCATTCTGTGTGCCCTGTAGCAGGACTTCTCAGCTTCCCACAAATGAGGGTATAATTTCCTAATTATCCACTGTCCCTGTCAACTAATGGCAAAAGGACTATTGGAGCTAATCTTCTCTAGATTTCCTGAGGACAAATTGACCATAGCTAATATATGGGTGATATCTCTACTTCGTGGAACTGTTGGGAAGGTTACATTGAATGGGAAAATGTATGGAAGATGCCTACTCTTCTGACACTCCTAGTGCCCCAACGTTTGCTTCCTTCTTCCTTCCATTTCTTCCTTTCTTTATTTTATTTTATTTTTTTTTTTTGGAGATGGAGTTTCGCTCTTGTTGTCCAGGGCTGGAGAGAAATGGCGTGATCTCCACTGACTGCAACCTCCACCTCCACGGTTCAAGCAATTCTCCTGCCTCAGCCTCCCAAGTAGCTGGGATTACAGGCATGCACCACCATGCCTGGCTAATTTTGTATTTTTAGTAGACACAGAGTTTCTCCATGTTGGTCAGGCTGGTCTCGAACTCCCAACCTCAGGTGATCCGCCCACCTCAGCCTCCCAAAGTGCTGGCATTACAGACGTGAGCAATCACACCTGGCCTGCTTCCTTTCATTTCTTTTTCCATCACTCACTGCACACTCACATAAAATCTACACAAGACTCAATCTTATTTTTATTATAGTTAGGGGTTCACATGTTTGTCTTATTAGACTCAGCATTCCTTGAGTACAGCGTCCTTTCCATACATCTGTATACTACCTAAGGTCCAACAAATTGCTGGCTCATAGAAAATAAATATTGGCCGATTGAATGTTTCTGATTCTGCCCAAGGAAGAGTCTGCTTTCCAGCCCATCAGAGGAGCGCAAGTCTCACTGGGCTTGTTCAGCTTGATGGCAGTAAAGGCTCATGACTTTCTTTGTTCATAGTGCAAAGTCTACTTTCCCATCTATAATTTGATTTCTTGAATAGATCTACTCACCAGGAACATGATTCACTGTGAAAAAAGAACAGTCCAAGGTTTTTTACCCACTAATATATCCATAAATAGGAATTCAGTTGAACCTGTGTGGGTTTGGTTCATCAGACCCTTTATGTGAACCAAATATTATTCAAACCTCTGACTCCACCATAGTGATTGAAAACATGAAGCAAAAAGATCAGGGCCAGTGTATCTGAGGCCAAGCCATGCACTTAAGTCAGCCTGCACATTATGACTAGACACGTGTACATTCTTTCACAAGTTGAAATAACGATGCCATGATGTGTCTTTACTTTTCAAGGAGATAATTCGTTTTTGCTGAATTTTACTTTTTTTCTGTTCTTCAGCCATTTTTCTCCCCATGTTTTTATAGTAATGTAAATAAATTGTTAAATAACACTTCATTATTGACATAATCTACCATGTAAGGAAAGAGGTTTTATTCCTGCTTCTACTTCTGAGGAAAAGAGGACTCAGAAAGATTAAAATTTTCTTATGGTCAATAACTTATGGCACCACAGTTTGTTTTTTACTCCAAATCTAGTACTCTTTCTACAATGACACCTACCCCATAAACATCTTGTGCAAAGATATTTATAATATCTCCAATGAAGAATTTACATTGAAAATGTGTTAGCTTATATACCAGAAATGCTTTTAAAAAATGTATAATAAAAATGTGATAAGAATTGTGTGGGAGATAATTCAATTGCCCTTGCTTTATATAATTATTGTCTATTTTTTATGTGCATGACCTAGATCCTAGGTTTGTTGGATATTTTTAATTGTATGTTACAAACTGACTTCAACTCTGTTTACAATTTTTTAGGCTGTTTGATTGGTTTATTGGCCATGGCTGATGTTTGCAGATACTCTGAATGGGGAATCATTGAAAGGTTTTATTAGCAGTTTATTTTAACAGCGCAAGCTGTTCATCAGAAAAAATAGCACAAATGCATTTGAATGTTGGTCTCCAGGCAGCAAAGCGTATCCTTCCACCCAGCTTCCTAAAAGACCTACTAGGAAACTTGGTGCCACCCACACCCATTTCTTAGGGGCTCTGATTTAGTGTTGCAGTTTTTTTCTCTAAACAGACGTGGGTGAAAGCTAGCCAGTGAAAGACTTAAGGGAACCATTATATCTATAACAGTGGATTAGAAAATATTAATAGTAATCAAAGGAAAATAGAAATAGCAATCGATTTTTCATTATTGATTTAAAAAAAATTTTTCCTGCTCCTTGGAATCTGTGTTTAGAGAACCCTGACTTATCCTCTTAGAGCAATATGGACTTCCTTTTTTGATGGTTTTTTGTTGTTGTTGTTGCTTCTTCACTTTCTCATTTCTTCATATTTTTTTCTTGCCTCTGTAAAATATTGTTAAAACCATGGATCAAAATATACATTGTTAAATGTGTCTTTTTGCCTTAAAATCCTTTTTACACTTATAAAAGAATATATGTTTCTTATATAATTCTTAGAAAATAGATATTTTGGGGAATTATTGTAATGTGAGTTCCCATATTAAGCTCTTTTATTCTGTCCAGAGATATGTTAGTGGTAAGTAAAATATATTTTTAAAATTAGGTTTAAAAAGCCAAACTAAAAAAATTAAGATTAAAAAAAAGACTTTTTCATGTTACAAAAAAAGCAACAGAATCACGGAGTTGTAAGTGGATGTGGACGGACATAGCTAAAATCTCAGATATTTTGGGCTCCATTTCTGGAAAGAGTCAAGGCATAAAAACTCCTAACAGAGACTTAAAGAACCCCACATATGGTAGATATGTTAGTTTTCTAGAGTTGCCAAAATAAAGGCTTAAACAACCGAAATTTATTGTTTCATCATTCTGGTGGATAGAAGTCTGAGATCAAAGTTCCAGAAGGGCCATGCTCCTGAAGGTGCTATGGAAGGATCTGTTCCAGGCCTCTTCCCTAGCTTCTGGTGTTGTGCTGGCAATCTGTGCTGAATGTTGGCTTGCAGAAACATCACCCCAATCTCTGACTTCATTATTATGTGGCGTTCTCCCTGTGTGAGTGTCTTTCTCTTCACATGGTGTTCTTTTTCGAAGGACAGCAGACTTATTAGATTAGGAACTCATTTTGCTTCCATATGACCTAATCCTAACTAATTACATCTGCAATGACACTTTTTCCAAATAATGTCACCTTATGGGATACTAGAGGTTAGAACTTCAATGTATAAATTTGTGGGGGACACAGTTCAACCCAAAACGTCAGGGTACCAGGGCAGAACTCACTGCAGGGAATTAGGGGCTAGGAAAGGAGGCTGACTTAAGCTGTTTGTTCTAATTTGCATACATTGGATGGCGAGAAGGACTCAGAACCAGGCCAAACCACCCGATTGTTCCAAGACAGTCTGTGTTAGTTCCATTTTCTGGAATGCATAGGCCTCATGCAATACCTCTCCTAGAGAGTCCAGATGCAGGCAGCTGCAAAATGATAGAAGGGAGGAATGAATTCAGAGAGAGAGCAGAAGAAAAAAAAATGCTTTTATGCAAATCGAAGTTGCCAACTAAAATTCTAAGGCACATAGAAAACAATCAATGCCAGCTGGGCGCGGTGGCTCATGCCTGTAATCCCAGCACTTTGGGAGGCCGAGGCAGGTGGATCACCTGAGTTCAGGAGTTTGACACCAGCCTGACCAACATGGTGAAACCCTGTCTCTATTAACATACAAAAATTAGCTGGGTGTGGTTGCGGTACCTGTAATCCCAGCTACTCAGGAGGCTGAGGCAGGAGAATCGCTTGAACCCGGGAGGCGGAGGTTGCAGTGAGCCGAGATCATGCCATTGCACTCCAGCCTGGGCAACAAAAGCGAAACTCCGTCCCAAAAAAACAAAAAACAAAACAAACAAACAAACAAAAAAACAATCAATGCCAAGGAAAAAAGCTTAAAAAAGAAACCCTCAACATTAGAAGATGAACTTAGTTTCATCAACAAGTGAATAATAGTAATAAATGGCTTGTAATTAACTACGGTCAAAATCATCAAAAAGACAGAAAAAGGAATACTAAAAATTTAATGAAACAAAAACTGGCAACTGTGAATCGAAAATGAGGAGGCATCAAAAGTGTCAAAATTGTGCATATAGGTATTGATATAACTTAAGAAAGAATTAGCAAAAGATAATGCTGAGGATTTCATTTATAGCACACAGCCAAATTATATAGAGATAAAAATATGGAAGAAGAGTTAAGCTACACAGATGATCTACTGAGGGGTTACAGTACATGGGTATTAGGAGTCTCAGAAACAGGAGAAATGGCAAAGAAGGAATGTTTGGAGAGAGGACAGCTAAAAATGTTTTTTTTTTTTCAGAATTAGAGAAAGATATATACTTTCAGATTAGAAGTGAAGATTAACTGTTATAGAGGTAATTAAAGCCATACCACCTCTAGTGAAACCTCAGAACATCAGGAATAAAGAAAAAATTCTAAAATCAGCAAGGCTGAAAAGACAGAATGCCTAAAATGCCATAGTTTTTTTTATAGTAGAATCTAGAAAACAACTGGAGCAATATCTTTAAAGTGGTGAAGAATACACAGTTGATGCTCATCATTTGTGAGTTCTGTACCAGGAGACTGCAAAAAATCCAACCCCTTAAGAACAATAGTTAAAACGTCATCCAGGAATTAAAGTATGCTTCCATTTTTTGTAAATTTTTGTTCACTGAAACATAAAGTGATTTTTTAAAATGTTAGGTAATTTATTTAATGGCACATTTTAAATCTTTATATTCCTAATTGATCGTAGTATTTTTATTTTAATTTCCATAGTTTACTGGGAGAACAGGTAGTGTTTGGTGACATGAGTAAGTTCTTTAGTGGTGATGTTTGAGATTTTGGTGCACCCATCATCCGAGCAGTATACATTGCACCATATTTGTAGTCTTTTATCCCTCACCCTTTCCCACCCTTTCCCCCTGAGTCCCCAAAGTCCATTGTCATTCTTATGCTTCTGCATCCTCATAACTTAGCTCCCACTTATGAGTAAGAAAATACAATATTTGGTTTACCATTCCTGAGTTACTTCACTTAGAATAATAGTCTCCAATCTCATCCAGGTCTCTCCAGATGCCATTAATTCATTCCTTTTTATGGCCGAGTAGTATTTCATCCTGTGTATATATACCAGAGTTTCTTTATCCACTCATTGATTGATGGGCATTTGGTTAGTTCCACATTTTTGCAATTGCAAACTGTGCTGCTATAAATATGTGTGTGCAAGTATCTTTTCCATGTAATGACTTCTTTGATTTTTTTAAAGCTTAGAGCATCATTAATAAAATTTAAACTTAGAAGAGATATTCACAAATTCAATGAAAGCATATTCTTTGTTTACTTGAATAGGGCATCACACCTTTAGCAAGGAACAAACAAAAGAATAATCTATCACATGGATACTATACTAGTTTGCTTCTGCTATCTAATGTTTAGGTAATTTTGATTTAGTTTTTTTTTTCCTGTATTGTCCTATGTTTAGTAAAGAACCCATCTGTAATAAATATTTCATTTTTTTAATTGGCCTAAGGCAGGCCTCACCTTGCTTGGGTATTAATTGTTTAGAGATTTTTATGTACTTGAAGTTTCAGAGAAATTTTGTTAAGGAAAGGCATTTTCTGTATTCTTTTCGTACCGTATATGCCTTTGTTGGAATGTCTCTGTATTTAGCATTAAGATTTCTGCAAAACCTGGCCAGGTGTGGTGGCTCAGGCCTGTAATCCGGATCTCCTGAGGTGAGGAGGTCAAGACTAGCCTGGCCAACATGGAGAAACTCTGTCTCTACTAAAAAATATGAAAAAAATAAAATAAAATAAATTAGCCAGGCGTGGTGGTGGATGCCTGTAATCCCAGCTACTTGAGAGGCTGAGGCAGGAGAATCGCTTGAACCCAGGAGGTGGAGGTTGTGGTAAGCTGAGATTGTGCCACTGCACTCCAGCCTGGGCAACAGAGCGAGACTCAGTCTAAAAAATATATATATATATATTCAAAACCCAGCAAGAGAGCACTTGTTTAACTGCTAACAAGAAGCAGCTGTTTTCCATGGGCGATCAATCATTATTTTCTGTACTTTTTTTTCCAATAACCTTATTTTCAACTTATGTCGTGTCCTGCTGAGGACATGTTCAGGAGGCTTGTCATGTAACAGAACTGGACACAGCTTGAGTTTTGAAACAGCAGACCTACAACTGAAAAAAGGAGTCCAATATTTCCTTCTTTAATGATTCTGCTATTATAATAATAATGGCTTTTACAGAGACAGGCAAAGTGTAGATGGAGTTCTGGTTCCTGCATGGAAATTTGTGTGTGTTAAGTGGGGATATAGGACAGACAAGAGGATTTTTAAGTTGACTATTTTACTTCAAGCTCTTTTTTGTTGTTGCTTTTATCTTCTCCTCGGGATAATACTTTCACCCTTATCAACTCGTCTTAGATGCCCAGTGGTCTCCACCGTATCAAAAGCAGAATAAGGGAAGAATAGGTTATTGCTGATTTAATTCTTAGTATTACTAAAAGTAAACTCTCTCAGAATTTTATTTAATTTTTATCAGTTTGTCTTTGGTAAATAAATCTCAAATATTTTGAATTAGGAGAGATAATTTGAAAGGATCCTCCTAAAACACCTTAATAATAATGAAAATAATATTAGAAGCTAACATTTATTGGCTTCTCACTATGTGTTAGGCTCTTTGTTATCAATTTTTTAAATCCTCAAACCAATCTTATGGGTTAGGCACTATTACTGAGGTCCATTTTATACAGATAATAAAAGCTTAACAAGGTTAAGTAACCAGCAGCCTTAGCATCACATAAAAGAATGTTACAAATGCAAAATCTCAGCCCCCACTCTTGACCTTAAAAAAACAGAAACTTAGAATGTGAAACCCAACAATCTTTTTGTTTTAATTAACCAATTGGTTTTAGTAAACCCTCCAGGTAAATTGGATACCATTAATTTTGAGAACCACTTCCAAGCCTTTCTAGTGGAACTTCTCACCAGTCTTTTTTTCCTTTGTGCTAGAGGGCAGGGGCTGTGTTATGTTTGTTTCTGTGTTTCAGTGCCTAAAAATGTGTCATACATGAAAAGTGTTCAGTAAATGTGCACTGCATAGTCATGGATGAATCTATAATGAATCATCCTATGTAGCTGTATTTGGGGATGATCTGATTATTCACATGCCCATTTTAACCAGGTCCGTTTTCTCATCTCTTGGGTAGAAAGGCCTGTAATACCTTTCCAGCAAACATTAGTCTTCTGAGACACCAGGACCAATGTGCAGTCATGGGATTTTTATTTGTGAATTAGAGCATTCTTTTTAAGACCTCAATCCCTCAGCAATGCAGCTGATGTATTGTGCTTTCTTTCTTTCTTTTTTTTTTTTTTTTGTTTTGGACAAGATGGGAGTGGGGAATGGAGGATAAAAGCAAGGGTTTCTACTATGTTCTAAGGCATTCAAGAGAATCACAAATAAGAGTAGCTAAGCAGACGAGTCTTGAACACCTAAAAAAAATAAGCATCAAATTTTGAAATACTAATTTAAATCTGTGAAACTACATTATAAGGCAGGTCATAATTAATAAAACAATGTATGCAGATAGTTATTAACAATGTTGAGTGTGTTACTGTATCAAGAGCATTAGAATACGAATCAGCAGGCCAGGGCTCCAGACTCTTTCTGACCATTACTTGCCATGTGCTGATGGATGAACATCTAAGCTCTCTGGACCTGTTTCTTCATCTGTGAAATGGAGGAAATAGCCCTGCCTACCTCATAAGTTTATTTATTCATTTATTGTCAGTCACGGTGATGAAGCTTCATTTCACAAGATTATGAGCCTCATAAGTTTGTTTAGACAAACAAAAAACACAATGTACAGGTATTTCTACTATAATATGAGTTCCTAGAAAACCTCACAGCCCTAAAAATCATTAATGAAAACAAGGGCACAATACTAAAAACAAATGCAACTTTATAACCTGAGCTCTATCTAAAATGACCATACTCATAACAATACTATTGCAATTTCAAAGACAAATGAAATCCTAATAAATCAATTCTGCAGTAAATATAGAACTTTGCCTTAAGAAAAAAAAGGAGAGAGAGAGAGAGAAAGAAAGAGAGAGAGAAGTTGGCTTGATAAAAGGGGGTAAGGAAGGATTGAGGCTTTTGAGCTATGGAAGGCAGGTCAAAATATACAAAGTGCAATGGGTATGTGCTTCCAAGAGCATGGATTTGGTTAACCCAAGTTAAGAGGAAGAATATGGAGTAAGGGAGGCATTGTACGTAGTCCTAAAGTTGTGTAGTGTACATTTAGCTGCTGGCACTTGGTTGGGCAAAACACTAATATGCTAAAAAAATTTAGATCTGAACCAATGCATTAAATTACCCTAATTCCTTCATTTACCAATATCTTATCTGCTAATTCTCCTTCCAGCAGCACTTGTTTAAAAAACAGGCTGCATTTGAAAGTGTTGTAAAGCGTGGCACAGAAGTAGGCTAGTATTATTAACATTACTTTATCCAGGTTTATAAAGAAAGGCCCAATATAACTAAAGTCATTAGTGTAATCAAGTCCTCTATGAATTTTTCATTAAATCTTTTACAATATGCAAATGGTAGTGTGCCGAGTGACTTCAGGAATATTAGTCAAATGAACTATTTGTTGTGGTCTGTGAATTCTATTCTGAGTGATTGGGATGTATCTTTGGATGCAATCAGTCAATGTCCCTGTGTTTATGAAAATTCTACAGCGATGCCAAGACAATCTTAGCGTCTCCAGGAATTAGTCATTTAGAATAACTAAGCCTCCTAGAATTTTGTTTCTGCACAAAATTATTTTCATTTGGAATCTTTTCTAACTTAAAATTATGGCAAGTAGAATAGTATATCACAATAGTAATGCATTTCTTCTTACCATGGCCCTAGGAGTCTGGAAAGTATAAACCGGTTTTTCCACCCATTTCTTCATCTAATCTACTCTCCTCACCTACATTTAGGCACACCTTCCCTGGATTTTGAATCCATTTGCCTCACAAAGTGGTTGTGATGCTGCAGGTTTTGAAAGCCTAAACAACTTGAAGGGAATTTTACTAGATTAAGTGGGGAAAGAATTTGGGAAAATATAAAAAGTGTTAGACTTTTGTGTGAAGACTAGAAAAAAAAAATACACCAAGATGTTAACATAGAGTCTCTCCGAAGAGTGGCTTTCTGGGATATTTAATTTCCTTTTGAAAAATTATTTCCTGTTGTCTCCATCTTGTAACTATAGTAATATGTTATCTTTATAATCATATTTTAAAATGTTTATGCCTGAGGTAAGCTTGAGAACAGGGTAGGGACCTATTTCCTTAGATTAAGAAGATTGTTTAAGTTCTAGTTTTAAAATTCTGAGATCCATCTGTCTGTCTATCTATCTATCTATAATATCTACCTATCATCACTTGTTTAGAGGAGAAGAGAGTACTGTGTCACCCTTTACAGGGATATTAATGCTGATACACAATGATATATATAAGTGAATTTGAGGTTTTTCATTATGGATTGGACAAGATTATTCACACCTCTCTCTCTTTTTGAAAACAAAAATGCACGTGTATAGGGTCTGCTTAATGTAAAAAATAGTAGTTAATGGCCTCCAGATAATAAAGTAATTTCTTTAGATTTCATCCTGGTATTCAATCTGTAATCTGGGTCTTCTTCACTTCCCTGTTCTTTCATTGAACTCATTCACTGACATTTTTGAAAATATTAAGTAGATTTTAGAATCAGTAAGTGTTACCAACAATATCAGAAAAAAATAATCTTAGTGAGCTAGAATCACCCAAGAATTTATCAGCCGAAGTCACCTTTGTCTTTCATCTTATGAAGAGGTGGGAATAGGGGAGGTGGAAAGTAAATTAACCCTTTTTGCTGTCCCTTAATATTTCAGGAAATGAGTATATATAAAAAAGACTTATTATCTCTATCCCTTAGGGAGATTGTCAGGGTTTTTAATACAGTATTCTAAGAGGTTTGGATACGATGCTAATGAGCATACTGAACTGTATTCACTGTATTAAAAACTCATTTGCTTCTTCCTTTCTATGTTTAGAAATGTTTTTAAGACCAGTTGCTAGATTATTCATTTTCACCTCATTAATGTAAAAAAGAAAGTATGTTTATGGTCTTGAACTTTGTGAGTTTGGTGTGAGGAAATAAACAGTAGCTTTTAAATATGTATGTTGCTCTTAATCAAAAGAAAATCTTTCATAGGTTGATAATAGAAAGATTCAGCACATTACTTTTGAGATGACATTTTGATAATGTATGATTTAAATGGGAAATATATGTATTAAATTTCTGTGAAAATATTCATGAGAATATTAGAGATACATTTGGATGTGAGGATATTTAAAAGTAATAGAAAGTTTTTCTGGGCTCAAAATATATTTCTGAACAATTAAATTTGAAAATCTCTACTATAAAAATCTCTAATATATTTTTATTAAAGGAAAGAAAATGATACTAAATGTCAAAATTTATACTCAAAATAATATATTTTAAAATAAAACTTTTATATCCTTATCCTGTAATTTCTGTACTTATACTTAAAGTATTATACCAAATGTTATTACTCTTGCTTAAAGAAACTTTTGAGAGAATCTTGAAGGTATTTTGTTCAGAGTTTATTAGAATCTTAGAATTTCAGTTAAAGTTTTCCTTTATACTGAGTGAAATATATGGAACAATTATTAAGCATTTGTAGCAAATCAAAATAAAGGTGATTATAACAAAAAATAGAGCATTTTTCACATTGTAATATAAATTAAAAATTAGATGAAACTGAGCAAGAATATCTTTTCTTTATACAACTTTCCACTTGGTTAAAAAATTACAGCTTCAGTTAAAAGTGCATACAAAATTTATGAATTTTAGAATTTCTTCTTTAAGAAAAAGCTGGTTGATCATCAGAGAAATGCTAATCAAAACTATGAGATATCATCTCACCTCAGTGAAAATGGCTGTTATTCAAAAGACAGACAATAACAAATGCTGGTGTAGATGTGGAGAAAAGAACTCTTATACACTGTTGTTGAGAATGTGAATTAGTAAAACTACTGTGGAAGACAGTTTGGAGGTGCCTCAGAAAACTAGAAATTGAGCTACCATATGATCCAGCAATCCCTCTACTGGGTATATACCAAAAAAATGAGACATCAGTATATCGAAGAGATATTTGCACTCTCACATTTGTGGCAGCACTGTTCACAATAGCCCAAATCTGGAAACAATCTAAGTGTCCCTCAACAGATGGATGAATAAAGAAAATGTGGCACATGCACACAATGGAGTACTATTCAGCCATAAAAAAGAATGAAATCCTGTCATTTGCAATAACATGGATGGAACTGGAGGTCATTACGTTAAGTGAAATAAACCATGCACAGAAAGACAAACATCACATGTTTTCACTTATTTGTGGGATCTAAAAATCAAAACAATTGAACTCATGGACATAGAGAGTAGAAAGATGGTTACCAGTGGCTGAGAAGGGTAGTGGGTGTTGTGAGAGAGGTAGAGATGGTTTATGGGTGCAAAAAAATAGAGTAAAAAAGATTTGGTATTTGATAGTACAACATGGTAAGTACAGTTAATATTAATGTAGTTGTATGTTTTAAAATAACTGAAAGAGTAAATTGGATTGTTTGTATCATAAAGGATAAATCCTTGAGGGGATGTATACGGCATTCTCTATGATGTGATTACTATGCATCACATGCCTGTATCAAAGCATCTCATGTACTGTATAAATATATACATACTTACTATGTACCCACAAAAATTAAAAATTAAAAAAATGAAAAAGAAAAGGTTTGTCTTAGGGAAATTTCAGTAAATTGCATTTGAAGTTTGTTGATGATGGGGGCTGAGCATTAATGTTTTTTGTCTTCCACGTAACCTCACAGAGTCATATTACTAGTAAATACCTGTTTTTTATTGATTCAGTTAACCAGAAATTTATCTGCCATTATTATTTTTAAGAAAACACATTAAAGCTCTGCCTTTTAAAAACTATCTTTTCTTGATGTTGTTTTATGTAACTAAATAATTTGTCACTCTTTTGCTGTGTTTTATCTTTTTCAGTTACAATGCCTGTGGAATTTTGTCCAGGTTTCTGAGTGCAGGCTTCCATTTTAATTATCTTTCCACTTATTTTCAATTATCCATAATTTTACTTGCATTTAGTAAACATCTTTTCTTTACCACAGTTTTATCTCTCTTTATTAAACATTTTTTTTGCTTTAATCTCAGGAGAGCCTCAGAGAAGAAATTCAATAGTTTCCACCAATAGACTCATCCTTAGAAATTAATAGTAAAATGTTGTTTTACAGAAACATGTTACATGTTCAGAAATACGTTATATATTCCCATAAAACTGGAAGCCAAATTATTTCCAACATTAACATTTTACTATATTTTTTTGAAAATTTTTTATTGTGAATTATTTTGTTTCATATTTGGTTTTAAGCCCGATTTTTAAATGAATTGTCACAAGGTGGATTCCCAGGAAGCACACTCTGAGATGGAGATAAATGAGCCAGCATTTTATAGGGAGTGCCCTTAGGCTCAACAACAGTGGGTGGAAAGGCGGGGAAACAGGAATGGACAGGAGAAAATGGAGGGTGATGCAGTCACACAAAAGCTTCAGCCCATCTTAGGGGAAGTTCTGAAGCTGGGATAGCCCTTCACAGTAGTCCTCACATAGGACCAGGGGTTGGGTTTTTATACTCCACATGAACCAGTCATTTGATTTGTGCTGTCCCAGAAAGGGAACATGTCCTTGGATAAGGGAGCTATCTTCAGCAAAAGCACCCCAAGGAGGGGTGACAGCTAAAGGCTGTAGACTGGCGGCACTCCTGGCACGTGGGGTGGAAGCCTTCGTTACTGAAAGGAGATCCGGGTGGTAGATCTGATAGCATCCACTACAGTAGCCTATCATGTGAAGAGGTTGACACATTTAGTGAGTGCAAATTGAGCTGTTTTGAGCTGAGGGACTCTCATAACTTGGCACACGTAATTGAGCAGTTGCTGCTTTCTTTGCCTACCTGCTTGAATCCCTGACGTTTTAGTTTTCTTTGCATATTTCGAAAACCAACAAGTGATGTGCTTTGTTTTCTGATATTTTGTGTTACAAATAAATATGAAGACTTCATAGATTTAAATGACAGTGGGTCTGTTATATTGCTATCTGTGTGTAGTTTTTCTTAAAATATTAGGGTAGATTTCAATATGGTTTCTCTGATGACCTTGTATAATTTGAATGGACACTTTTAATTAGAGCCTGCAAAATTTCTAAATGTGCCATATGGTTTGCATAAAGATTTAGAATAAAAGTAAGGATAATTATTGTCTGTGGAATAGCTAAAAGAATGTTCAACTAGCCAACTATCAAATGTGATTCAGATGTTAAAAAATAAAAAACTGAAGCAACAGTAATCAGTTTGGAATTACATGTAATAATTATTTCTGGATTTTTTATTTTCTGTAGAATTTGTGGTAAAATCTTAATGAAAGTATTAAAGACTCCCTCCTAAAAAAAAGTACAGACATACTTGTCTTATTGCACTTCACTTTACTGTGCTTTGCAGATACTGCAGTTTTTACAAATTGAAGGTTTGTGGCAACCCCATGTCAAGCAAGTCTATCAGCACCATATATTTCCCAATAGCATGTGCTCACTTCATGTCTCTGTGTCATGTTTTGGTAATTCTAGCCATATTTCAACATTTTTTATTATTATGTCTGTTGTAATTTGTGATCGGTGATCTTCGATATAAATATAGTTGTTTGGGGGCGTCACAAATTATGCCCAAATAAGATGGTGAACTTAATCAATAAATGTTGTGTGTGTTCTGACTACGTCACCATCCCGCTGCTCCCCAATCTCTTTCCTGCTCCTCAAGCCTCCCTATACCCTGAAACACAACAATATTGAAATTAGGCCAATTAAAAACCCTACAATGGCCTCTAAGTGTTCAAGTGAAAGGAAGAGTCACATGTCTCTCACTTTAAATCAAAAGTTAGAAATGATGAAGCTTAGTGAGAAAGGCATGTCAAAAGCCTCTTGTACCAAACAGTTAGCTAAGTTGTGAATGCAAAAAAGAAAAAAAAAGTTATTGAAGGAGATTAAAAGTTCTGCTCCAATGAAAACATGAATCATAAGAAACCTTAAGGCTGTATGAAGAAGGTTTTATTGATCTGGATAGAAGATCAAACCAGTCATAACATTCTCTCCAGCCAAAGCCTAATCCAGAGCAAAGCCTTAACTGTCTTCAATTTCTTGAAAGCTGAGAGAGGTAAGGAAGCTACAGTAGAAAAGTTGGAAGCCAGCAGAGCTTGGGTAATGAGGTTTAAGGAAGGCTGTCTCCATAACATAAAAGTGCAAGGTGGAGTAGCAAGTGCTGACAGAGAAACAACAGCAAATTATCCAGAAGGTAGAGCTAAGCTAATTGATAAAGGTGTCTATGCTAAAAAGTAGATTATAAATGGGGATGCAACAGTCTTCTATTGGAAGAACATGCCATTTAGGACTTCCATAGCTAGAGAGATGTCAATGCCTGGTTTCAAAGCTTCAAAGGACAGGCTGAGTTTCTGGTTAGGGGCTAATGCAGCTGGTGACTTTAAGTTGAAGCCAATGCTTATTTACCATTCCAAAAATCCTAAGGTCCTTAAGAGTTATGCTAAATCTACTCTGCCTGTGCTCTATAAATGGAACAAATAAGCCTGATGACAACACATCTGTTTACAGTATGGTTGATGAAATATTTTAAGCCCATTGTTGAGACAATTCTCAGGGAAAAGGGATTTCTTTCAAAATATTATTGCTCATTGACAATACACCTGGTTAGCTAAGAGCTTTGAGGGAGATGTACAAATAGATTAATGATTTTATGCCTGCTAACACAACACCCATTCTGCAGCGTGTGGATCAAGGGGGACAATGATCCTTATTTATTTAAGAAGTATGTTTCATAAGGCGATGGCTGCCATAAGTAGTGATTCCTCTGATAGATCTGGGAAGAATAAATTTAAAATCTTTTGGAAAGAGTTCATCATTCTAGATGCCATTAAGAACACTTGTGATCATGGGAGGAATTCAAAATATGAACATGAACAGGAGCTTGGAATAAGTTGTAGATGACTTTGAGGAGTTCAAGACTTCATCCAACTGTTGTGGATGACTTTGAGGAGTTCAAGACTTCATGGAGGAAGTAAATGCAGATGTGGTGGAAATAGAAAGAGAACTAGAATTAGACTTGGAGCCTGAAGATGTGACTGAACTGCTGCAATGTTATGACCAAACTTTAACGGATGAGGAGTTGCTTCTTACGGATAAGCAAAGAAAGTGGGTTCTTGAGAAGGAATCTTGAAAGAGTGTGGACGTTGTTGAAATGACAACAGGGCATTTAGAATATTACATAAACATAGTTGATAAACCAATGGCAAGGTTTGAGAGAATTGATTCCAATTTTGAAAGAAGATCTACTGTGGGTAAAATGCTATCAAACAGCATTGTGTGCTACAGAGAAATATTTCATGAAAGGAAGAGTCAATTGATGTAACAAACTTTTTTGTTGTCTTATTTTAAGAAATTGCTACCATCACCCCAAACTTCAGCAACTACCACCCTGATCAGTCAGCAACCATCAACATCAAGGCAAGACCCTATACTAGGAAAAAGATAATGACTCACAGAAAGCTCAAATGATCATTAGCACTTTTTAGCAATAAAGTATTTTTAATTAAGGTATGTACATTGTCTTTGAGACATAATGCTATTGCACAGTTAGTAGACTACAGTGTAGTATAAATATAATCTTTAATGCTCTAGGAAACCAAAAAATTCATGTGACTCACTTTATTTCCATATTTACTTTATTGCAGTGGTCTGGAACTGAACCTGCAATATCTCTGAGGTACTTTTGTATGGTGGTGTAGATATCAGATATAACTTACTCTACCACATGTTTGGAGCAGGTACTTAAAAATACATTAAAACCTAGCCAGGCATGGTGGCTTATATCTGTAATCCCAGCACTTTGGGAAGCTGAGGAGGGCAGATTACCTGAGGTCAAGAGTTCGAGACAAGCCTGGCCAACATGGCAAAACCCCATCTCTACTAAAACTACAAATATTACCTGGGTGTAGTGGCACACGCCTCTAATCCCAGCTACTTGGGAGGTTGAGGCAGGAGAATTGCTTGAACCCGGGAGACAGAGGTTTCAATGAGCCAAGATCACACCACTAAACTCCAGCCTAGGTGACAGAGCGAGACTTGGTCTCAAAAAAAAAAAAAAAAAATTAAAAAATTTTCTGTGTGGTAAATAATGATGCTTTTTTCTGAAGTTTAGATTCTGAAATGTGGGCAATTGGCTTTGCTTCTAGCTCATCTTAAGTTAGTGAAGAAGTTAAAGAAAACCCTGGAAAGGCGTAATTGCAGCAATGTTATTATATATAGAATATGTTATATATTCACTGTCTGATAGAGATTAGCATCAACATGCCGTTGGTGATTTCAGATGTCCAGTTTTAGAGACACAATTCGTGTAAATTTAAAAGCACAGAAGCAATGCATTCTTATTATAATACGTATAATAAAGAGGAAGTGAAATTATTTCTTCAGTAACTTTTTCTGCCTTTTGTGCTCACCCTTCCCATTGCCTAGATTTAACTGCTGTTATCATTTCTGTGGGCATCCTTAGTCTTAGTGGTCTCCTTCTAAAATATATATGTATATGTGTGTGTGTATAGATTCAAAACATTTACTTAGATGCATACACACACACACACGTATATGCACACACACATAGGTTGATTATCCAAGTATCCTTAATCTGAAAATATGATATATGAAATGCTCCAAAATTTGAAACTTTTTGAAGCTCAAAGGAAATTCTCATTGCATCATTTTCAATTTTAGATTTTTGGATTAGGGATACTCAACTGGTAAGTATAATGTAAACTTTCCAAAATTTGAAAAAGTTGAAACCCAGAACACTTCTGATTCCAAGCATTCCAGATAAGGGGTTCTCTCTCTCTTTCATGTATATCTATATATCCACACACACAGTCATCTATGTCATGTCACATATATTGGGCATGGACTCTTTTCTGTCTTTCTCTTTGACTTAGTATTATGACATAGATATATGTTCATTCCAGCACATTGAAATAAAACTTATTTTTTCAAACTGCTGCACAATATTCTGTAGGGTAAAGTTACCATTTATATATAAGCATGTAAAAGAATATAAATTGTGTTATTTAAGATATATTTAACTTGTTACAGTTAATTAATTTTATTAAATAGGTAATTTTGTATTATTTTGTTTATTCCTTTTTTCTCCACATTTGATTATTATATTTTGCAAAAGTTTAAATATTTCATTTTTATTTTAATATTTTGAGTAGAATATTAATTGTAAAATAAATCTTCTATTATGTATTTTAAAGTAACTTTATGTTCTTCTCGTCTATATTTTCCTTTTCTCTGAAGCAGCTTCTTCTGTGCTTTTTCTCTTTTCTGAGAATGCAAGTTCCTCTACAACGTTATATAAGAGCAAATGCCAGGTTCATCATAAATAGGTACAATCTTATAAATTAAAGTTTACCTCTAAATATAGTTTATATTTTGGGTTGAACTTCCAATTTTTGAAACATACATGATAAAACTCTGACCTACTACAGCACATTCTTCCAATTTCTAATCAATGTCCATTCAACCACAGCAATAACTGCTTCATAAGCTAAATTAGAGTGCCTTCTTATTGCTGATAATTCTTGGTACAGCCTCTTGAGCATCAAGTGCAAATTTCAAGAGAATCCATCCCTATACAAATTCAGCGTTATCAGCCTGAATCCAGACAGCTTTTGCTTCCTTTTGAATGTTACTAGCCTGTACTTTTCCATCTCTTTCATTTGTGCTGCCTTTGTGAATCCACAAAATCACGTTCAGAACAGTAGTGGAAGAAAGAGCACAGGGGTTAGACGCATGTTTCTTTACTAAAGCACTTCAGCCCTTACAAATTTATCTTCCTTGTTCAATTCTCACTGAGAACCTCATCTATGTCTTGTTTGCCTGCAGTCAGAAACTCTTAAATGATAAGCCTGAAAATGTATTTTTCTAACATTGTCACATCAGGTGCTAACAGAGTTCTCCCTTTTGGAATCAGATACACTCTCTAAAAATGAATGACTTAAATCTTGGTCCATCCTGTGACATTTGTTGAAATATTTCTAACATCCGCCAAATATATTCTTGGTACCACTGCCTCTTTGGGATCAAAGATTTGTCTCTTGATAAGTGGATTTTTTTTATTATATCTCTTTTAGGTTAAGCAAGTTATTTTGTTACCAAGTATGTATATTATTATTCATTTTTAATTAATACATCTTTCTTGGGTATCTACTATTCCCAAGATATTATGGTAAGTGCCAGGGGTCATTTACTTCTAGATCTAATGAAGTCTTTATGAAAGATGAAGAATCTCAGCTGGGACATGAAAAATTGTAGAATTTCTGCTTATGGAAAATGGAAAGATCACTCCAGATGCAGGGTTTTAAATGAGTTAGGGCATAGAGTTAGCAAACAGCCTCTGCAATAATAAGTGACAGTTTGATTCAGGCCCTGAGCACAGAAAACAAAGTAGTGAGATGTTAGTCTGGAAGGAGGGTCAGAGCTGGAGAACTAGCTTGGATGTGAGGAGTTTGCTGTCCATCCTGAAGACATTAGGAACACACTGGAAATGGGAATTTGCCAACATATTAATAGTTTTCAGCAAACAACCAATAACTTTCAGACATTGGTTCATGAAACTCTGACATAAAGGTCGATAGTTTGATAGAATAGGCGAGGTACAGGTATCCTTCGATAAAGCAGTGTTAGCAGCACAATGGCCAGGATGGCTGAACTGCTGAAGGAGCCCTAACTCATTTAAAACCCTGCATCTGGAGTGATCTTTCCATTTTTCCATAAGCAGAAAATGGTGGCAATGGAGCAGAGACTGAGTGGGGGACCACTGGCTTTTGCAGTTGGAGGAGGGAGCAGAATGAGGGAACAGAGTGAGCAAAATGGAAGACAAGGAAAAATAACCAGTGGTAAAGGAGTGAGGAAGATATATGCTGAAGGGAGTAACTGATGTTATGAAGCCTGAAGGATGGAAATGGAATCAGATGGAAGGCATAATCTTGTCAAATTTACTTTAGGACCCATGGCAAGGAAAAGAAAATGAGTGGAAACAAGGCATTTTGTGCCACAAAGAGGGAAGTTAGGAGAGTCTTCACTACCTAGCCAAGGTTTACAATAAGATCAAAAGGGAGGCTGGGCATGGTGGCTCATGCCTGTAATCCCAGCACTTTGGGAGGCCAAGGCGGGCAGATCATGAGGTCAGGAGTTCAAGGCCAGCCTGGGCAACATGGTGAAACCCCATCTCTACTAAAAATACAAAAACTAGCCAGGCATGATGCCACGTGCCTGTAGTCCCAGCTACTCAGGAGGCTGAGGCAGGAGAATCACTTGAACCCGGGAGGCAGAGGTTGTGGTGAGCCGAGTTTGCACCACTGCACTCCAGCCTGGGCAACAGAGTGAGACTCCATTTGAAAAAAAAAAAAAAAATCCAAAGATTCCCAGTTCCTGGAAAGTGAGAAGTGTGTTCAGGATGACCAATACAAAATAAGAACTACAGTCCCCTTGTTCAAAAGGCAGGAAAGATTTGTTAAAGATAATAAAATAGAAAACATATTTTATTGTCTCTCTCTCTCTTTCATCCTGTCATGGTGTTTTTCATTTGTTATTGTGCTCTTTGAACATCGGGATACTAATAGTGGGAAGGGGTGTGGAGACTCACAGGTGCCCTGCAACTCGGCTCAGGAGTGTTTGAGCACCAGCACACTGCCCTCATTTGGGGCAGAAAAGCCAATCTTCCCTCCCTACCAGCTTGTTCCTCTCCCCACAATGGATGGACGGAACCCAAAGGATTGCAGCCTCTGAGCTGTGACTCACACAGTACTGAATCGATAGAGGGTCAGTGGGAGGGTCACCCCTACTATGTCACCCTTCAAATGCTTTGTGACCTGAACTGAGACTGGCTGCTGCCATAATCTGCAGAAATACCAGGGAGAACGTCCACCACCTTGGCCCTCTTGCAACTGTGCCCATTCCCTCACAAAGGGGTGAGGGAAGCAGAGAGCAACAGTAGTCTCTGATTGGCAGTGGGGAGAGGGATGATGGGCAGCCCTGAGGAGAGAAGAGATGCGAGGAGGTGGAATTGTGCATGAACTGAGGCTCCAAGTCCCTCGTGCATGCTCCATTGTCCCACCTGACTAAAAGGAAGTTCCAAGATAAAAGGAAATTCCAAGATAAAATTAATAGATATTTCAAGACGGTGAGCAGGGGCCATCAAACCCTGAGCATGGGACACTTCTAAGTTCAGGGCCCTTCTAAGTTCAGGGCCCCCAGCACCAGTCACTTGTTCATGAAGCTAGTGCTGAGTATATGTTGTGTTTGTGCACACGTGCATGTGTGTGGGGTGTGTGTGTGAGGATGTATCTTAAGGGCAGCACATATTGAAAGCTTAGAATAGTCATTCTGCAGAATTCAATAGGGAATCAACATGTGCTGAATGGTAAATAATACATAGTTCCTTCAATAATGCTGTAATTCATGAGTGTCTTTGGAGTTAAAGCAGAATAAGTGGATGGCAGAGCCACATTATGATTATTGTGGGCCCTGGGCACTTGGCACTTTCATTTTACTGGACCTCTTTCTCCATAGTAAAAAACTAAAATGTATGATTTATAACTGCATTGGTATAAGGGTGAATATGTTAATATTATATATGAAAATATTTTTCAACCTTAAATTTTTTTTCTTCTGATTTAAAGATATTAAAACATATATGTGGGCCTCTAAAAGTATTGTGGGTTTTAGGCACAGTACCTGATGGATAAGTTGGCCCTAGTGGATAGTGGGTATCAGTCAGAAATGCCACAGTACTTGAATAATAGGATCAGGGGAAGGGATTCTGGAGAGCCAGTGGGGACAGCATGATATCCTGGCTGGGTGAAAACAGGTAAGTACTTGAGGGAATGATGAATTGGGAGCCACGGTGAAAGGAGAGGTAAGTTGTCAAATGGAAGTTTGGGGTCAGATGGAGAAATGGGCTAAGTCTTTTGGTGTTGAACTACTCAAAAATGAAAAGGTTTCATGCTTTTGTCTAGAGATAAAATTCAGTCATTTGCCACATGACTGTTTTATTTTATGTCTAATTTTATTCATTTGCTTTGCTATATGTACCTATATTGTCATCAATAAATTAATTCCCTAGGAAATAAATTCTAGGAAAACATTTTAGATTATTCTTAAACTTCGAAATGGAAAGATCTCTAGATTACATTATTTTAGTTCTAATTTTTTGACTGAGATTAACAACATCAATGAGAAAAAGAAATATTGTTTCGTTTCAGTTGGGACATTAAAATATAATCAGTGCACCAATTTTTTGTGCACAGTAACTTTAGGGTTTTGAATTCAGCACATTTATACTTAATTTATAAGTGCTAATGTTTCTGGAATTATTTTAAGCAATATAGCATCCGATTATATATGAGCTACTTTATAATATTAGAAGTCATATTTAACTACAGGTTAAGTGACTACATTAAAAGGGAATACAATTATTTTAATGGATTTTTAATTAAATGCTTAAGTCCTAGGTAGTCTAGAGGTGCACTTTCAATTAAATTGATCTTTCTTGGAGGTTTGGTTAAAAGCTGTTGGCAAGAAGAAAAAAAAGATTGTGTTTTTAGTTTTGGTAAACATCAGACAAAGAAAGGTAGAAAAAAGAACAGTAGAATGTAATTTAATAATAGGTGAAAAACATAAACAGACATCTCACTAACTGTGTAACTTGTAAACAAACATAAAATGTCTATTCTTGGTAGCAATAAAGTACAAATCAAAGAGAGGCACCAATTTTACTACATAAATTAATTAGCAAAATATTGCATTGTTTTATTCATTCTATCTTCTATATGCAATTTTTTATGTTTTAAAGTATCTCTTTTTCTCTGATTCAAAAACCATATAATTATGGATTTTACCCCCTTTCAAATGTTGTGTAATGTGGTTATGTTACATAAATACCGAAAGACAAGAGGGAGGAGGAGAAGTAGCAGCAGGAGGGATAGGAAGACATAGGAAACATAAAACAGCAAGCTCCCTACAGCTGGAAGTATTTAATCAGAGTCTGAATAGCCATTTGTTAAAAATGTTGATGAAGCGACTCCTATAGTGTATCGTTTGGAGTAGTTTATCTTCTAAGGTCCTTTCAAAGCCTGCAACTGGATAAATCAGTGAGATTTCTAGTGTTATTAATAAAATTTCTTACTAGGAGAAAAAAACAAATGGCATTAGAAGTGACACAATTTATCTTCACAAACATGTAAAGCAAATTCAAGCTTTTGTAATATAAATAAAGAGCGAATTTCAGGCATCCTTTTTATTTTGTTATTAAACCTTAGCCTGTATTTGAGGCATTAAGTAAATGAAAAACTACTTAGTTTCTTAATTATTTGGGAACTTTTAATATACAGTTACCTTAAATCTTACAGTTTAGATCTTTTCCTAAGTGTGGTCCTTAGAATACAGTATCAGAATCACCTGGAGAGCTTGCTAAAATGCAGATCCCAGTACATTGAAACTGCTGGATCAGAAAATGTGGAGTTTAAGTCTGAAGAATCTTCATTTTAAACTAATTTCCCAAGTTATTCTTATGCACCCAAGTTTAAGTACTACTTATTATGCTCTTGAAACTCAAAGTGTGATCCATGACCAGCAACATGAACATCGCCTGGAGTTTGTTAGAAATGCAGACTCTTAGGCCCTACCCCATACCTATAGAATCAGAATAATCATTTTAACAAGACTCCTAGGTAGTTTGGGTACATTTTAAGGTCTAGGAAGCCCTAATTAGACAATATCCAAAGAGTGACAAAATGAAGTCAAAACTTCACTGTTTCGTCAAGTATATAACCAGTGGTTTACTTTCACTCAACAAATATTCATTGAAAATAAACACCGTAGGCCGGGCGCAGTGGCTCATGCCTGTAATCCCACCACTTTGGGAGGCCGAGGTGGGCGGATCACGAGGTCAGTAGATCAAGACCATCCTGACTAACACGGTGAAACCCCGTCTCTACTAAAAATACAAAAAAATTAGCCGGGTGTGGTGGCAGGTGCCTGTAGTCCCAGCTACTCAGGAGGCCGAGGCAGGAGAATGGCGTGAACCTGGGAGGTGGAGCTTGCAGTGAGCCGAGATCGCGCCACTGCACTCCAGCCTGGGTGACGGAGCTAAAGAAACACTGTAACAGCTAATATTTGAGAATAAATGAAAGACAAATTCTATTCTCATGAAATCAATAATCACAACATCATTTGATAAATAAGGGATGTTTAAATATTTTAATTCTCTAAAATAATTTTACAAAGAATCAACAATTGGCATTTTTCACTGATGTAAGAATAAAACAGATTATGTCTACTAGAAGAAAATGATGTGAATTTTTAATTGAGTCCCACTTTTATAATTTTATATATTTTAATTGGTATACAACTAATTTTGTTGATGTTCTCAGTCACTAAATTCTATGTATTTGGTAATGTGATAGAGTGAAGATCTGGGGGCAACACTACAAAGGTATTATCTAAGTGGAAGGGAAAGTGCCACTTTTAGAATGGCTGTATAAGCTCCAATCAGAATGAAACTCTCACAAATAACAATAAACTCAATATTTACATAGTTGTTTATTTTGTTTTAAATTACCTGACAGCACAAAAATAGAGAGATTGTAGAAGGAAATCAAGTTGGAAGAAGAGGGTACAGTGATTTTCCCATTTTTAAGTGTTTTAGCCTGCAGGCAGGCTCGTATCTGCACCTTGTGGGCAGCTATGATAGTGACACAAAACTTAGCAGAGGGTTTTCCTCAAGTATTAACAGAGTACTGATCAACACATGCATGTGAGGAAGTCACACAAGGCTGGAGAAAGGAGCACTCAAAAATATTAGAGAGAACAAACAGTTGCCAATAATGCTCACATAAGGATAGGAATCGTCCCTCTTCTCATCAACCAGACAAGAAAACCTTAAAACGCACAAAACACTAGAATGAATAGTCAATGGCTTTCCTTGGTATTATTAGCCTTTGACTGAAAACTATTCATGTCTTATATAGCAAGTCTTAAAAGCAAGATGCAAAATGATCAAACTGTTTCCAAGAAACAACTACATTTGTGAGCAACGCTCAATAATATTTAGAGGAATACAGAGCTGTCCAGCGTTTAACAAGTAAAATTCAGTGTCTGGAATCCAATGAAAAATTAGTAGCATGCAAGAAAGCATGGATGTATGACTCATCGTGAAGAGAAAAATCAATAAAAACTGAGGTCACTGATGTGTTTTTGAATCTAAGAGTGGGGGGAAAGTAATAAGATTTCTTTAAAACAAGCAAGTAGAAATTATTGCTATCTTTTCTTAAACAAACAAAAAAAAGAAAACATAGTTGTTTCATATCTCCTACACTTTCCTGGAAATTCTATCCTCTTACCTGTGAAAGAAACAAGAAATCTTACAGGATAGGAAGGTAATTTGAGGAGTATGTCAGATTTCCCTAAATAATATGTCTTTAGGCATTCAGAATATACAGACCTCTGATTTCTAACTGACTGCAAAAATAGCTAGTTGATTATTACATTTTGCTGAAAAGGATACTAAGCTTATATTTGGATAAAATTCACCAAACATTGTAGAGGTAGAGGGGGAAAGAGAGAGAAATAAAAGAGGGGGGGAGAGAGAAGACTGTATGACTAGTAATAACAGAGCAAAATATTTTAAAATATAAAATAAAAGGTAAGTAGTCAAATGCATGAACATAAGTTGGAAAGGGATATATGGATTACTGAAGAGAAGAAGTACATGCCTAGTCCTCGTAAGACAACCTCTCTTCCACAGTTTATAATCTCTCTGCCACCAATGATAATCTAGTATCCCAAAAGGAAAAACAATATGTAATAAATGTTATAGAACATGAAGTATCATGAAATCAGCCATGAAAATCAAGAAGTATACATCATTCTATTTGTTTTGGTACATGGAAATTATTTCTTTTCATAAAAATACAAACTAAAACTACAGGACAATATAAGTAAAATCATGTGGAGTGGTCTATCATAGTTATGTCGGCCTTCCCGTCAACTCTCCCATCCATCTTAGTCATTCTTTGTCTCTCGCTGTGTGAAGAGGATGTTTCTCTTGTCTAGTTAATCATTTGACACCTGATTGGTTAGTGGCTAGAATTAGATAACAAACCAGGCATTTGGTGGGATAAATGGAAGGAGAGAGAGGGGAAGGGTTCTGTGTAAAGGAAATTGTTATCAGAACTTCCATAGACATTTTGTCATCTAGCCATTTATGCTATTCTCATCTGAGCAAAGCAAAAATTATTGAATCAGCAATGGTCACAAACATGAACAGCATGCTTATTTAAAAGAATGTTGACCACAGACTCAAAGTTATCTGACTTTTTATCTTAATTCAAATCTGAGATCCATCACTAACAGGACTTGTGCATATCTCCTAATTTCTTGGAGTCTTATAATCATTTCATTATCTTTAAAATTCATAGTAATTCTTATCTTTTAAAGTTTCAGGGAGGACAAAAGGGGACAAAAATAATTAAAGTCTGAAACAAGGTAGGAAGCCAAAACATACCAGTTCCCTACCTGCCATTCCTCTTTCTTAGATTACCCAGAATGTAGAACCATTGGCCATAAAACAGTCTGTAGACAGGCCTGATGGAGTAACAGTCAACAATGTTTACCTGCTCTGATAAATATTTTCGTTGTCATAGCATATGGGAGCTCCCAAAATATTACCCAAAGCATACAGTTACTGGCTCAACATAAACATGAACAATGACTTAGAGATATCCTGAGAATAATAATTCCTGTCTCATAGGGTTTTAGGAAGAACAAAGCAGTGGCTTGTCTTATGTCAGGAATATGGAATAGCAGATGCATTTCTCTAAAGATGCTCTTTGAGTCATCCAGGATGGTGGGCTCATTTTTGAGATAACCCTGGATTAATCAAGACTCTTGGTTGTAACTGAGTGAAATTTACTTAACATCAGCTTAAATTGCTGCTGTTGTTTTTTGGGAGGAAGTATTATAATATGTAACTGAAAAATGCAGATATTACCCAGCTTTCAGGCAGAATTGTATCCAGGCACATAAACGCTATCTTCAGAGGGCTGTCTCTTTTCATCTCCTGATTCTACCTTTCTCTAGGTTGTCTTTATTCTCAGGTAGACTCATCCTATGGTGGAAAACACATCCCCTGGAAGCTGAAAGTTTTCACTGTCTCTTGTAATGGATGATTCCAGAGAAAAGGTAGTGGTGTTTGTTTGTTTGTTTCCTAACAGCCTTAGCAAAAGTCCCTGATAGAATTTTACTTCATTTGGCTTGGGTCACATGCCCTTTCTTGATCTACTGAATGTGACTAAAAAGATGGAGTCCTCAGGTGTAGGTCCAACCCCACAGGGTCAGTGGGTCTCTCCCCGTGTGCGGAGATGAGAGAGTGTAGAAATAAAGACACAAGACAAAGAGATAAAAGAAAAGGCAGCTGGGCCCAGAGGACCACTACCACCAAGTCACGGAGACCGGTAGTGGCCCCAAATGCCAGACTGCACTGATATTTATTGGATACAAGACAAAGGGGCAGGATAAGGAGAGTGAGCCATCTCCAATGATAGGTAAGACCATGTGGGTCACGTGTCCACTGGATGGGGGGCCCTTCCCTGCCTGGCAGCCGAGGCAGAGAAAGAGACAAAGAGAGAAACAATTTACACCATTATTAGAGACTTTTAGTACTTTCACTAATTTGCTACTACTATCTAGAAGGCAGAGCCAGGTGTACAGGATGGAACATGAAGGCGGACTAGGAGCATGACCACTGAAGCACAGCATCACAGGGAGACAGGCCTCTGGATAACTGTGGGCGAGCCTGACTAATGTCAGGCCCTCCACAAGAGGTGGAGGAGTAGAGTCTTTTCTAAACTCCCCCGGGGAAAGGGAGACTCCCTTTCCCGGTTTGCTAAGTAGTGGGTGTTTTTCCTTGATACTTACGCTCCCGCTAGACCACGGTCCGCCTGGCAACGGGCGTCTTCCCAGACGCTGCCGTTACCGCTAGACAAAGGATCCCTCTGGTGGCCCTGTCTGGGCATAACAGAAGGCTCGCACTCTTGTCTTCTGGTCACTCCTCACTATGTCCCCTCAGCTCCTATCTCTGTATGGCCTGGTTTTTCCTAGGTTATGATTATAGAGCGAGGATTATTATTATATTGGAATAAAGAATAAGTACTACTAACTAATGATTAATTATATTCATATATAATCATATCTGAGATCTATATCTGGTATAACTCTTCTTGTTTTATATTTTATTATACTGGAACAGCTCGTGTCCTCAGTCTCTTGCCTCGGCACCTGAGTGGCTTGCCACCCACACTTAGGTTGTCTCAGCCAGGGCCCCTGTGCCTGCCCTGTGACTTTGTGGTGGTCCTGGGGCACGGGAATGGGAATAGCCCCCCACTTCATCCCAGCATACATATGAGGAGTTCTATAATCAGGGAAAAGAAAGGAGTAAAAAAGTTCTGTGCAGGTAAATGCATTACTAGAGCCTTTCGGAGTCAGTATTCATTCATCATTATTACAGTTTTTATCAAACTCCTAAGCATAATATAAACTGTAAGGTTTCTGTGTGTTAAGAAATAACCAGGTTATTTTAGTTAGTTTGACCAGCTTGGTTGGGATGTGGAGTGGAGTCAGTTAGAAGGAGTAAGGTCCGTTGGAGAGATGGAAGAAAAAGAGGTTGATTCCTGAACACCATTTCTGACTTTTAATTCCCAGCTTGTGGAGCCTCATCCTGCTCCCCCAGCTCCCCAGTGACCCAGAGCTGTACAAAGTCCCAAGGCTGTCCCACTTACTATGGACCAAGCAATGAAATAGGTACTAGAAACACAGTGGTAAGAAAAATGAATACCATCTCTGCACTCAGCAAGCTAAGAATATAGTACAATAGTTGTTGTTTCCTGGGTTGGGTATTTGTGTCCTTGCTGTTCTTTAGAAATCACCTAAAGACACACCAGCATGACATCTTTTCCTTCCCCATTCTGAGTTAACACAAAGGATCAAGTGGTTGAATCCTCAGGAAGACAGAGATCTGCCCAGAATTATGCTTCACTGATAATTTCAAGGCTACAAGGAATCAACAAGCATTGATAGAACAAGAAGAAGACAGGAACATCCTCTACTATTCCCCAGGTCCTTCCATTCTGCAGTGAACGTGCTCTCTCTAACCCCAAGTAGTAGATGATCATGGGTGTTTTTTTTGTTTGTTTGTTTGGATTCTTGTTGTTGTTGTTGTTGTTTGTTTTTGTTTTTGTTTTCTTTTGAGACAGAGTCTCACTCTGTCTCCCAGGCTGGAGTGCAGTGGTGTAATTCCAGCTCACTGCAACCTCCCCCTCTCGGGTTCAAGCGAGTCTCCTGCCTCAGCCCCCCATTAGCTAGGATTACATAGGCATGTGCTCTGCTACCACACCCAGCTAATTTTTGTGTTTTTGGTAGAGACGGGGTTTTATCATGTTGCCCAGGCTGGTCTTAAACTCCTGACCTCAGGTGAATTGTCCGCCTTGACTTCCCAAAGTTCTGAGATTATGGGCATGAGCCACTCCACCTGGCCCGTGGGTGTGATTTCTATTCTGTATACTACTGTCAAGAACTGTGCAATGTTTGAGATTTTACCCTGCTTTTATACTAACAAGCTTTTACTGTTTCACAGTTGCTGACAGAAGACATGAGATTCCTGGGTCAGAAACAAAAGACATTATTACTCATGGCAAAAGAAGCAGCCAGGCCTTCGTTTGTTTGTGTTAATTCCCCGTGTTCCCCCAACTCTCACAACAAGGACACACAAACAGCCCATTATGGATGCCTGCACCTGCAATTAGTTACATTATACCAGGGAAACACTGAGCTTAGGGCATCTACCACTTTTATAGTTAGTGGAAACAAGTCTATTCTTTATTGTCAAAGGAGATGTTAGCTCATTTCTCTGTGGAACTATAGCCCTGAAAAATGGCTTGGGTAAAGATGATCAGAGCCTTGAATTCTTAGCATACACAGCAAGAATATGTAGGGATAATCAGGGCCTGTGGCAAATTCTTTCCCAATATATACTTTATTTTAGAATGCACTAATGTGTTATCATTTGAGAGTCTCAGTAATTTGAGAATTCCCTTTCTCTTTTGTATCTTTAAATCATCTCTCTGTTGGTCCTTTTCAATGAGTAAACTTCTGCAAGTGTCATTCACCTTAAAAAACTTCCCCTCTTCCACTACCACACTTTACTGTACAACTACAACCTCCTCTCCTTAACAGTCAAACTTATTACTAGGCGTGTCTTAATTCCCTGTCTTTCTTCCTTTATCTCCCTCTTCTTTGTCAACCCAGCCCACTAAATCTGGTACCAATTGAACCACTCCACTAACACAGCTATATATACTAAATAAATTATCAGTGTAGTAAAATAGAGTATACTATATTATATACTAGTATATATTATAATTATATGTAGTAATATACTATATAGTATATACTTATTATACCATATATAACTGTATATAGTCTGTATATATATTTATATAAAACTGTGTTAATGTAGTGACTCAACTGGTACCAGATTTTAGTAAATAAATAAGTAAATATATATATGTGTGTGTGTGTAGATATATGTTTTTATGCTAAGTACTAAAGTATACTAAATTTATATGTATATAGTAAATATATATTTAGTGTGTGTGTATATATATGTATTTATTATATAGTAGTAGAGGGAGACAGAGAGATCACTGTGGTGTGGCATATAGAAGATATTGGAGGGTCCCATGGTGGACATGGAGACAGCTGTAATTAGGTTACTGCAACCATCAATATAGTTTAAATTAGTGTGGTGACAGTGGAGATTAAAAATGAAAAGATTTGACACGTGTTAGAAGGTAACTTTGATACAGTGAAATTTGGTATTAGGTTGGTTAGTATGAAGGAGGGGAAAGTGTCAAGGATGACTTCTAAGTTTCAGGCTTGTGTTTGTAGATAGATGGTAGTTGAAAAATCAGCTCACATTTTTCCCCTGATCTTAGTCCACATATTCAACTGCCTAATAATATCCCCAACTTTTCATCTCTTTTGATAATTCAAAAGAAAATGGATTTGGTGATCAGGCAAGCCAGAGATAAAACCAGAAACTTTAAACTGATAATATTTCATCATCTAGTCAGAGCCACATTTACACAGGTGGAGAGAAAGGACCCAGTATGTATTTAAACTGTCGTTTTATATAGTTCCTGAGCAGGTAAGTGTCCTCCTTTCCTCACTTACTGGAGGATGCTTAACTAGCGTTTTTCTTTTTCTTCTTTTTTTTTTTTTTTGGCCGTGAGAGATAATAACAAGTAGATAACAAAATTTGTCTTTTGACTTATGTACTTGCCCATCAAAATATTTATTTCTAAAACTGATCTATTCATCTAATATGCAGTGTTTCTTCTCTTGTGCTATTTTGGTGAATGCCACAACCATCTATCCAATTATTCAAGGCAATTGACCTTGACTCTTTCTTCTCCATCACATTCACTTAATAACCAAGTCATACTGATTTATTCTTCTTAAGTTCTTTTATATCTGCCCACATCTCTCTATTTCTTCTGCTACTAGCTTAGGTCCTCATCATCTTTCATCTGGATTTTGGCAATAGTTATTTGTTGGCTTCTCTGCCTTCAGTCTGCCACCCCTCTTATCTATTCTTCACTCTGTTAGTGCCCACTGCATATAAAGTAAAGTCATAACTCCTTAATGTAGTATAAAAGACTTTCCATGATCAGGCCCCTGCCACATCTCTAGCAAAATCTTTTTCCACTTTAACTCTCCCTCTAGAGAGATCAAACTAATTGCATATTCTATGAACGTGCATACTCTCCTCCTATCCTTAGCAAAAGATAAGTCCTTTAAGCTTTGTTCCTTCTCAGTACTGTCATTCTCTTCAAAAGTCCTATTCGCCTCTTTTCTAAACTAAGTGGTTTTTGTTATTGCTTGGTGAATGCCTGTGCTAGAAAATTGGTAACTTTTTTTTTTATTTGCAGCAATAGCAGAAATTAGGGAAATAAAATCCACAGAGTTACCAGCATGCATTTATTTCCTATTCAATTAGATCTGACTTTCAAGATACCAGAGATTGTAGCTGCCAAGAAAAGAACAAAAGGAAACACACAGGATAAAGGATGAGATTTTAAAAAAAAAGTAAGGAGAGATCATTCACCATGAAGAAACCATTCAAGAAGCCAGCTTTACCATCCCTGCCACTGTCAGGTTTATCATGACTTTGTACAGGCAATTTTATAAACACTAAACATTTGTAGTCAAGATGAACCAAGATGAACCATCAAATTCATTATAATTTTGACAGAATATAATATCTCCAATAAATTCTGTAGGGAACAACTGGAAAGTATGACTTTTATGTACTTTATGAAATACAGATTAAGTCATTTTACAGGCTAGAGGACAACAAATCTTTTTAAAAAGTAGATGTTACATTTGAGCTGCACTTGGTGATTTTCTCCCACTGTAAGCTGCTCCAGTTTACCACATGCATCAGTAAAGATAATTTTGTTTGCAAGCAACAGAGTCATTGAACTAAAAAATAATTAAAGGGAGTTATTGGATGACCTAACAGAAGTTCAGAGATAGGGAGGACTTCAGGCAGAGTTTAATCAGGGCTCCAACTCCAGTTCTCTGTAAGTTCTTCAGTTTTGTCCTGTATTGATTGACTTTATCTTTAGTGTAGCTTCACTCATGGAAGCAAAGTGGTTATGCAAAATGGCTCACATTCATACATTATAGTTTCCACAGCAAGAGAGCATCTATGTCCCAGGATCCCCAGCCTATATGTTGAGCTTCCTACTGACTGGATCTTATCTGAAGTAATGCATTCCTCATGAGAAAGCCTCATGCATTCCTCATGAAGGGACTACCTGATCAAATTACTGTGGTAAATAGAGATGAGATTATGCCAAATAAAGCCCATTCTGGATTTGGAAGAGGGGCAGTGTTTATCAATCCCACATAAACTACATAATATCTCTAAAGTGAAAGAGGTAAAATTTCCCTAAAGAAAACCTGGGAACCCCCAGGTTTATTTAGTATGAAAGAAGGAAAATGGATGAATCCCAAACAGGCAACCAGTCAATACTCACTACAGACACAATTCATAGTTGTTCATCAGAAGATTTAGAAATTATTTTGTAATCCAGATGTTTCAAGCTACTTGTGAGTAGTCAAAAATAAATATCAAGAGTCTGCTGCGAGGGTGAAAAGAGGGTAAACAGAGGCAAGGAGCCCAATTCTGAGAAATTCCATCAGTGAGTATAGATGCATTAGAAGATTGAATGGTGTGGATGACTCTCAAACTACTCATTCATTCATTCATTCATCCCTATGACATGTATAGGGTGTAAATCTATGCCAGAAAATATTTAAGTCAATGGGATCTTTAACCCCTTAAGAAATTCATTCTATCAGGCACTGCAGAATTTTAAGGAAGAAATAAGCAATTTTGATATATAGAGTGATTGCCACTATAGTAGAACACAGGAAAATAAGGCCACATGGAAAACCTAGCAGAGTCTTCATGAAACTCTTCAATATTTCTTCCAAACCTAATACTTCTACAGTGCAATCTCCAACATAAAGCACCCTAGGAGCACTTTATTTTCAATCAACAAGTATCTGAGAGTAGTATATTAAAAGGCAAAGGAAGAATAATTTATCTTACTCTGGTTCTCAGTTAAATGGTCACACAATCTAAAAAAAAAAATGAAACGATTTTGATTGTTTGGAAACAATCTCAGGGAGCTCTTAAGTACAAAATACATTTGCTAATAATATGCATTCTTTTAAGATATTATATTGTATGTCCATCTGAGGAAATAGTTTTGAGGGATACATAAAGCAAAAATATTTAGAGAAAGGACATAAAAGGAAAAATAGCAGACATAGTTTATTCTTTTTGACAGTCTTTTATAGCATAGAATCATGAAATCTTGGGTCCATATCACAGTGGTAATGCTGAGAAAATTCTAACCACTTTATCCTTATTCCCAGCAGTGTCCTGGAACTCCAATTCTAAGAGTAAGGCTTTCCATAAGCATCTAGCATGAAGATATAACTCAGAGAGTTTTTGAAAAATTATTTCTTCACATGAAGTATACTTGATAATAACATTTTAATGTAATATTGAAATTTCTGATTCTTAACTCTGTTGGGCAGAATCTTGATAGCCAAGAAAATCACTTGTGACAGTTCCAGAATAAGGGTCTAATATCATAGCAATTTAACCCAGTTTCATCCTATATCAGAAGTATTCGATCAGAAAAGAAGTAACATTTCCTTCAGGTTAACAGAAGTAGATCATTTCTCGTAACAGATCGTGTTAAAATTGTCTTGAAATTGCATAGTTTTGCTTACTCTAATACGTATATATATTTAAATATTTTGGTCTGAGTACAGATTTAGGAATTTGGACTGAATTGGTCTAATTTAATTAAACTGAGAAATCTAGCTAAA